>NC_000003.12:116129816-116432846 GCF_000001405.40 Homo sapiens
CCCTTCGGGGATGTACCGTCTCTTCTGGAGGTCAGCCCAGTGGAAAGTAAAGCCTTAAGAGAGGCACTGGACTTCAGATTTTATGTGTTCATCTGGAGGGTGATTTGGAGACTGGATTATCAATCTCACTTTTAATATTCACTGTATTCTGGACACCAATTCCAGAAACAGCAGCCCAATATTCTTTTATTGCAGAATCCAAACATAAAGACGACAAGCTTTTCCAAGCATATCTAGGAACACTCTCAGTAGTTTCAAGGACAGTATTTTAAAGAGACAAATATTCTGGGTAATTGTGCTGAAAAATATGCTTTCTAGCTCATTTCATGGCTGCCCTACCTACCTGACTTTCTCTTTTCCTTTACTTCATACATCCGCCACTATCCTCTCCTATCCCCTCATTACCTGTTTCCCTTATTTACAAAATTGTCTGTGTCCCTGGAGTCCTTCGGAAGGTCATTTGGCTAATTAAAGAGTCCAACAAGCTGATGGGTAATTTAGTATACAAAGACAAAGATTATAAACATACAAATAGAAAACTTGTGTTGATTATATCTCAACGGTATAGGTACAAAAGTAGGTAGCCAAAGTTCTTACATGAGGTGGCTTGTCCTTTTGAACATAGCTCAGACATCTAATACCTGATTGGAAAAATATTAAGCATTCAATAAACAACAACATGGATTACAAATGTTGTCATTTTAAAGGCTTCAGATCTGCAATGAGAGATACTTGTAATTTTTTGTCTACATCATTAAGTGTGTTGAAAATATAATTTGAAAATGGGCTTCTTTTTGATGGTAATAATGGGAATCCAAAATAATCTATTCTTATTCTTACTTTTTAATTCTCACTCTCCCTATTTTTAAGTATTTTGTAAATATAATTTTAAAAATAAAGTATAGAAAGTACAGTTTTTAATACAGTGTATAGCTACAGGTTTTTCCACATTGAAAAAATTACCTACCCAGAAATCCTAAACATATATGTGGGTAGAGATCATATCTATATAGATATTTTTCTTCCCCCTTTTCCTCTCTTTTCCTCCTCCTCCCTTTTCGAATTCTTCCACTTCTCTCACTGGGCCTTGCTCTAATGAGTGTATGTTGTTCTTTAGTCATTCAAAATTCATTCACTTCACTTCCGGTAACAACTGTTTAAGGTTCCACACTTTTTTTTTTTTTTTTTTTTTGAGACGGAGTCTTGATCTGTCGCCCAGGCTGGAGTGCAGTGGCACGGTCTTGGCTCACTGCAAGCTCCATCTCCCAGGTTCACGCCATTCTCCTGCCTCAGCCTCCCAAGTAACTGGGACTACAGGCGCCCTCCACCTCGCCTGGCTAATTTTTTTGTATTTTTAGTAGAGACAGGGTTTCACTGTATTAGCCAGGATGGTCTCGATCTCCTGACCTCATGATCCGCCCACCTTGGCCTCCCTAAGAGCTGGGATTACAGACGTGAGCCACCTCGCCCGGCCTAAGGTTCCACACTTTTATCATTTTCAGCGTTTGTAGGTTGGCCGAAAACTTGCTGACTGCAGGGATGGTACTCAGGCCTGAGCCACCAAGCAATGAAACTATTATGAGTTGAGGTACAGGCATGTGACCCAATCAGGGTCAGTGAAATAAAATGAGATGGTTTGAGACTTTTACTGTCTTCTGGGAAAGAGATACTTGCTCTTCCCCCAAGGGACTTAAAGCCCAGAAGATGCAAGGCCTGGAGCTTCTGCATGGCCATCTTCTGACCATGTATAGAGAGTCTACCAGGGAACAAATCAATAGAAAAGCAAGTAAAGCAAGGCGTAGAAAAAGTGGTCATCCTACATTTGCAGATACCCCTCCATTTTTTCTTTTCACTTACACAAACCAATAATCTTCCTCGTTGCTTAGGCTCTTTAAGTCAAGTTTTCTGTATCTTGTAGCCAAAAAAAGTACTTAATGATAAACCCAACCCACAGTGTCAAACAGAGAGAGAGACTGAGTCCTATAACAGTAGCCTCCTAAATTTCTTTTCTTTTTCTTTTTTTTTTTTTGAGATGGAGTCTTGCTCTGTCTCCCAGGCTGGAGTGCAGTGGTGCGATGTCAGCTTACTGCAGCCTCCACCTCCTGGGTTCAAGTGATTCTCGTGCCTCAGTCTCCCGAGTAGCTGGAATTATAGGTGCACACTACCACGCCCAGCTAATTTTTGTATTTTTAGTAGAGACGGGGTTTTGCAATGTTGACCAGGCTGGTCTCGAACTCCTGAACTCAAGTGATTCACCTGCCTCAACCTCCCAAAGTGCTGGGATTATGGGCATGAGCCACCGTGCCTGGCCTTGCTCCCAAATTTCAAAGTCCAAGAACTCCTTTGAACAATTGCTGCTATACACTGAAAACTACTTTTCTAATCTGTTGTAGCTCAATAACATGTTAACTATAGAACTATCAAAAAAAAAAAAAAAGTCTAAATGGCTCCAAATTAACATCCCTGGAGGCCTTGAAAGACAAGCATCTTTAACCTGGTAGCACATACCATTCCCCATAGGACACTCAGCAGCTGTGATAAGCCTCAGCCAGCACCCCTTAGCAATGAGGATTGGGATAAAGAAAATGCAAAAGGTCAAGTGGCCTTCCTCCCACTGCTCCACCCCTGAGGGATTATTTGTAATAAGCCATGTTGATTCATCTTTCCTTTGTGAAACAGGTACTGTAAGGACTTGAGCACTAATGAGAAATATAATCTTCCACCACATAACATGTTTCTCGTGAACTTCTCATGAATGAAAAGTCCACAAATTTTTAAGGTGGCGAGTAGTCTCAGCCAATCTTTTCTCTCGTTTTTTTCTTAACAAATGTCTCCTTTTTCTTATTCTCTCCTTTTTCCCTTTAGTTCTCTCTCTTACATCTCATAATAATTTAGCACTTTTATTTCTCTGAAACTAGAATAACTTTTAAATTTTTAAACAATTAGTAATTATGTCTTGGCTTGCTTCAGTGAATGAGTTTATAGTTTATGTTGGCCCTGGAATACATATGTCCCAAAATACATGTGCTTGAATTACCCTGTGATGTTCACGTGAGAGAACCTCTGTCTCCCTATCAATCTAGTCCCTGTTCCTTCACACCATCTCCTACACCTCTTCCGTGTTGTTATAAATGAGGTATAGGGAAGGGTTTGACAAAATAGAATGAGATCTTGGTTATAAATGGTGCCTCAGATCACTAAACCAAAGTTTTGTGACACGGCCAAGCCTCTTTTCTGTGTTTGAAGGAAACAGACATTTTCATAACAGGAAGCTGCAGAAAAAAGATTTGAAAGATTAGCACTTGCCTTCTTGTTCAATCAGCTATAGGCAGGACAAAAGATAAATTCAAATTCTACCTCAGGTGCACAACCTAGGAAACTTTGAGCAGTTAGCTTAAACTTGGTGAATCTCTTTCCACATTTACTTTTTTTTCCTTTTTTTTTTGTTGTTGTTGTTTTGTTTGTTTTGCTTTGTTTTTGTTTTTTGTTTTGGAGATAGGATCTCACTCTGTCACCCAGGCTGGAGTGCAGTGGCGTGATCACAGCTCACTGCAGCCTCAATCTCCTGGGCTCCAGTGATCCTCCCACCTCAGCCTCCAAGTAACTAGGACCACAAGTGTGTGGCACCATGCCTGGCTAATATTAATTTAATTTAATATATATACATATATTTTTTGGTAGAAATGGAGTCTCCCTATGTTGCCTAGGCTGGCTTTGAACTCCTGCATCCAAGTGATCCTCCTGCCTTGGCATTTCAAAGTTCTGAGATTACAGGCATTAGCCACAGACCCAGCCTCTTTCCATATTTAAATTGAGGAAATAATACCTACGTAATTATTTCAACATCTATTTTTGAGCCATAGCTAGGCATTATTCTAGGGTTCTACAATACACTTTGATTAAAATAATCAAAATCCTTTTTTCATGAAGTTTATATTTCACTTAATAGCATTTTTGAATGAACTAAATGATATCATTTAAATAAATCCAGAGTATAGTATATACCACAAGATAAAATTCAAAACATGATATCCAAGGTGAGTTCTCCTTCCCAATTGGTGTATTCCCAACTTTTTTTCTGTTATGAATTTGGATATTGACTTATGAGGCTACAAGGTGGCATGACCCACATTAGTGACACAGATGGAACAAACTATTTTTCCAGTCTCTTAGAGGTTTTTGAAGAAGCTGGGAAGGAGGAATAAGCTTTGGACTGAACTAGAATATGATCTGAACAGGCCACAGCATTACCTAGAATAAAAGACGGGGTCTCATTTGGATTGATTTAGTCCAAGCTGAAAATGACAGGAGTTATTATTGGTTTAAAAAAAAATTTCTCAAATAAACTATTTTCAAGCCATACTTGATTCTTCTCTTTAAAAATTCTCTTTGTGAAATTAATCAGCATATCCAACAAGGAAAATACACCCCATGCCCATTTACATTTACCTCCCTTCATCTCCACTGATAAAGCCCTAGTACACATGTCTGTAACTTTATTATAAATCACCACCATCTTTTCTCTTCCCAGCAGTCAGAATTACCTTAAAAAAAAAGAAAGAAATCAGACTGTGTGATCCCTATCCTCACCAGCTCCAAAAATCTTCTAGTGGCTATCCAGTGTGTTTAAAATAAAATCCAAACTGTCATAATTTTCAATGTCCTTACATGACCTTGCCTTTAAGTCATATTCGGCCAACCCATCCCCTTTTCACCGTGCTTAAGGTATCCTGGACTTCCTCATCAGGCTTGTTGCCGTCTCAGAGACTTTGCTCTTGCAGTTCCCTTTGCTTCATGTGTTCGTCCACCATCTTCCTCAATATTTGCATTGATTATTCTTTCTTAGTTCAAATCAGAGAGGCCTGTGCTGACCACATAGCCTCTTTCCATCCTCCAGTCACTCTCTTTCACATTACCCTGTTTTAGTTACTTTATAACAGTGCATATCCTTCTTTGAGATCATAAGATCCATGAGCAGAGAACTTACCATCCTTGTTCTTCCCTCTATCCCCAGTGTCTCCCTCTAGGAGGTACTCAATAAATACTGCTGTGTACATGAATAAGATCTATGAAATTAGTACTTCTATGGGAATCCACATTAATATATCTTTCTGAAATTTTGCTGGGCTCTCAATAATAGTATAAAAATGTTATTGATGGACTGTTTATGATGTGTAAGGCACTACAGGAGTATAGAAAGCACTCAACATACATCACTAAAACGAATTTTCCATCTGGTTTTCACTACTTTGAGGGGGTGCATTATTATGTTCATAACCATTTATAGCTTAGGGAACTAAAACTCAGGAAATGAATTTATTACTCAAGATCTCACAGCTCATAAATGGCAACACTAGGATTCAAATCTAACTCTGACACTAAAGTCAATGCTCTTAATATTACAAACATCACCATCCATGTATCTTTTCATATCAGTCCTAGATACCAACTAGAAGCAAATATCTGTCAAAATTAACAACGTTTATAAAGGGCATTCACTGAGTGCTTACTATGTACAAGGCATTATCTATGTTAATTTCACAACTGTGCTGTGATGTAGATACCTTGTTATTCAGATGAGAAAATTTCAGCTCAAGTAGGTCAGATGGAATTTGAACCCAGTTTTGTCTGGCTCTGGAGACTGAACTGTTAACTACTATGGGATCGTATTTTCCTGACCCAGTGAAAGACAGTATTACTTGCCAAGTCACAGATGACAGAAACCACTAGACTAGGCCTCTGCTGCTACAAGCTGGGTGCAGCCCTACTGCCTGACCAGTACATTCATCTTGGTCAAATGACAGATGTATTGTGTCACTAACCATGGAAACCAGAAATCACTGCTGGCTGACCACCAACTCCCTGTCAAGTAGAGGAAAAACAACCAGAAGCCTAAACTTTCATGATTACATTAGTGGTACCTCCTTCATTTATTTTAAAAGCAATAAACTGTGCTTGTCCGTTGTTTCGATTACGAAGTTTCAAATGAGATTGAAGATAATGCATCCCATAATTTCTCATCCTTCCTTGTTCCACAGGCTCAGGCAGGCTGATTCCAGGGTGAAATCTGCACTTTCCTGATTGATGAGGCTAATAAAGTGCCTTTATTGTGATATAAATAGCCTTAAAAATGTCCTAGAGAGTCAATACCCATGTTTGATGGCCTCACACAAGCAAGGTCCTTGTCTTAAGTAGCACTAAAGCTTAATGAGTTATGTTTTTGAAAAGTTTGTCATTGAATTTGGATATTGATTTGTGAGGCTACAAGGTGGCAAGACCCACATTACTCACACAGATGGAACAAACTATTTTAAAACCACCCATTTCTTTCATATACCTAATATATCAATAATTGTAATATCTGGCTGGATCATGTAGCATTGGCAAGGGATTGGAGCATGTTTGGAACAAATTACAAAGGTATTCATTCAGTCAGACCGATAGCTACTTTCTTAGCCACATTTTGGTTGTAAAAGAGTGCAGCAGAGGCTTCCTAGAAGATAAGAGTGTGCTTTTAAACCTCATCTCTCAGTCACCCAGGTCTATGCACATGCACCCACACACATGTGCACAGATGTCAACCCAGGCATCATAAAAGAACAAAATGCTATAACTCTAATGACTTCAAAGTCCCTGGGTTAATCTGTGATTGCTGCATTAAATTTATTAATTCGCTTGTGTATTGGGAATATCATAAGCCACAGGTTTTGGCCTTTATTAATATATCTATTCCAGATCTTTGATTCTTTTAAACATCTGCCCTCCCAGTTTCAAAAGTTGCTTTAAAAATCCTACTTTGCTTTTCTCTTTTCTGCCATTTTTTCCATTCCTGATGGTATCACCCCTTCTTATCCACTTGTTCACTTATTATTTTCTCAGTCTTCATTCATGTGTGCATGTGTCTTGCCTTCTGTGCCTACGTATGTGTCTCTACACTTGCAGAAGGAAGATCAGAGTATAATATATGAAGTAATGTAAGGGTGCTATGGTACCAAGTAAGAATATCATAATGTCAAAGTCACTCATTCAATCACCACACCACCAAACAATGAGTTTATTTAGCTCATTACATTAGTTTCCTAGGGACTGCCATAAAAAATACCACAAACTTGGTGGCTTAAAACAAGAGAAATTTGTTTTCTCAAAAATATCAAGGCCAGAAATCCAAAACCAAGGTTTTGGCAAGGTTCTAAAGGTTTTAGGGAAGAATCCTTCTTTGTCTTTTCTGGCTTCCGATAGCAGCTGGCGATCCTTGGTGTTCCTGGTGTACAGACATAGCATTCCAATTGCTGCTGGATTCTTCAGGTGGCCTTCTTCCCAGTGTCTCTCTGTCTTCTTCTTTTTATTTTTTTTTCTGTCTCTTATATAGACACTTGTCATTGGGTCTGGATTAGGCCCACCCTAATCCAGGATGATCTCATTTTGAGATGCCTATCTTAATTACATCAGCCAAGGCCCTTGTGCCAAATTTAGTTATATTTTGAGGATCCAGGTGGACATCTTTGCAAGGGGGGAGTTAGTAATCATTCAACTCACTACACCTATTTCCAAACTTCCAATGTAATTAACTAAACTATACTGAGTTTTATTTTAACAAGTAATAAACATTTCATTTGTCAATAATATGGATGCTAAGACTAACCAAAAGTATCAATTTTGGATCATTACATGGAAATATTAAGAAACTTACACTAGTTACTTTTTCCTTTATCCTTCCAATGGATTTACATATAACATATACATCCTTTGAGAAATAGTGAAACATAATCTTTAATGCTGAAAAATAATCACAAGGCTTAAACTGATTTGTTTTTATGGCTACCCCAGCTAATCAATTTATTCTGAAATTATTGATTGATCTTCATTAGAGTTTGAATCAAGACAGAAAAATCTTGAATACTTGTAAAATGAAATATTTTGTATTCTAGAGATGAGACCATTGTGCTTTGTGTTAGAGAAGATCAGGCTGATATTAACCTAGATAATGATGGCCTTATCAAAGGATAATGAATACCCACAAAAAGGGGAGGGTGTGTTTTTGTTTTTGCCTATTGGCAATGAATATAAACAGGTCCTCTCTGCCCATTTCACTTAAGGATGCCATAGGAATCAACAGAAAACTAAGAAATATGTTCAAAGGGCAAGAGCTAAGGAAAACAAAGCCTGACCAGCCTAATACAAGAATAGGACTTATTTAGAAGCAGTGTTGTTCACATACAGATCACCTAGGAATCTAGTTACAAAGCAGATTCTAGTATAGTAGGTCAGTGGTAGGTCTTGAGATTCCATATTTCTCACAAGTTCTCAACTAATGAACAAGGACTGCACTTTGAACATCAAAGTTGTAAAGAATCAAATTATTCCAACAGGGCTTGCAAATTATTATTATGTCACACAAGCTAAAAATTATGCGGCTTTTAGTCATTCAACAAACATTCATTGAGCTCCTATTCTACACAACTTGTGTTAAAATTAAAGACATATGAAACATAATTCATAATTCAATCCTCAACTGTTTCTCTCTCAGTCAATTGTGGATATTTTCTTTCAGTTATAAAATTTGGCATCAACTTTCTATTTTAAATATTAGGGAAATAGTAGAAATACAATTTTTATAAATAAATAAAAGTTAATCAACCTTAAGCAATTTTCTAAAGATTGACGCAATTGATCTCTATTCTAAAAGATACAACTTTTCAGCAATGCGGACAGTGTCTCTTTTAGGGACTGTTGTCAGAGATGCCATGGCAATACAACTTTTGCTTGGATTCTAGGAGCAGCATTCAGGATGGCGCTGTGGGTTCCAGTCTGGAGGTCTCAGTAGATGCAGCAATGAGTAGGGATCAGTCACAAAGTGAAGATAAAACACTTTCAGAAGCATGTATTTAATTTATAGAAAAATCAATATGTTCTTATTTTCTGTTTAATTTAATTTCATGCATTGCCAAAGAAATGTGCTACAGAGTAATGGCTCTAGTTGCTGAAGTCTTACCTTACGTAAATTGACTTTTTTTTTTTTCCATTTTAGCTTGGTTTAATATTATTGAATTCATTGGCAGGTGGCAGCCAAAGCAATCTATGGTTGTTGTTGAGTCATTTTCAGTAAGAATCCACCAGAGACTATGGTGATCATAATAGTGATCCAGAAATTTGCACTGTCTACTAAAATTATACATTGAGCATTATATACATATATAATATATAATGCATATGCACATTACATATGTATATAATGTGTATAAGTATATATAATATACATTATCAGGAGGGTCTTTAAAGGGCTGAAACTTGCCTTATTAGGAATCTGCTCATAATTCTGCTGTGAAAGGTAACAGTACTTTTAAATTTTTAGGCCTGAAGAGTCAAAGAAAGTTGTAGTATCCTGACTTTTACCAAGTACATTCTCACAAAAGAGCAACTATTCTGCACCATGGAAAGCATGGGCCCAATTTTGAAAGGATGACTCTTTGCCTTTAAACTTATTTTGATCAGAAGCTTTTAAGACCACAAAATATTCTGTTCTGACATTAAACATGAATCTCCACCAATTAGAGGACCAAGGTTTCTGAGGCCAACCTGGAGTTCTTCATTATGACATCAATGAAGTTGGCAAATGATTGTTTTTACTGCCATAAATGAATCTCACAGCAGAAGGTAAAGACTAAATTCTGTCTTCAAAATTTTAACCGTATCTCTTCATCCCCACAACAGATACAGTGGTCTGAAATGTTTGGATTTGCTATCTTCATTGGTCAAATGAGCTAGTTAATTGCCAAGTAGATGCTGCCAGATTCATTGCAAGTTGTATTGCCTAAGTCTTTCATCGTCAACCTAGGGGCCTTTATTTTCCTCCTTAAAGGCATATCCAGATCAATATATTATAGCACACATGAGGCTTATTTTTAGACCTGTAATGCTTCTCGTGATGCCTGCTTTGGGGGAATGGGAAAGATGCAGCTAGAGACAACAAACTGCTCTCTGTTCTTTTGCTAGCCAGGCACTCTATGACTCATTTCAGTATAGAGAGGGGAGCATTGTCCCTGTAGACAGAGTTTTCTATGGGGTTACAGTATCTTGTCTGTGGTTCTTGTAGAATTTATGGCCTACTTTTCACAAACTAGCAAAGGGGCATAATAAGCAGAGATGGTTTTATTAGTCCAAAATGTTACCAAGATCCCTTCAAATTTCTGCAAGTTACAAATGCATGTGATAAAAGACACAAAAGGGTAGACACAAATGGTCCCTGAACACTAGGTTAGACCTCTCAAAATAAGAAATGGTCTTAGGTCCTATAATCTTAAAGTCTTATGGCATGACAGAAAGGGTTTATGTAGTTCTGACTCTGAAATACACTTAGTAAATTAAGATGTGGTGTATAATTTCTTAGATGTGGATTTATTCTCTAAACATGGACATCGAAAAACTTGAAGAAAAGCCAAGTGCAATAACTCTAACAAACCACCAGGTGACAGTGTTTCTAAAATTAATCTTCGATTCTAGAGACACCAGACTTGTTTTTTTTTATGGGGCCATATTTTAACAGACACATGAATGGACAATCACATGATTGCTTTTTATACAGAAAGTCAAACCATTAACTGAATTTATTTTCATGATTAC
This sequence comes from Homo sapiens, assembly GCF_000001405.40. Classification (NCBI taxonomy): domain Eukaryota; kingdom Metazoa; phylum Chordata; class Mammalia; order Primates; family Hominidae; genus Homo; species Homo sapiens. Next base: position 116,140,437 of record NC_000003.12, read on the forward strand.
AATTATTTAAACGCGATGAGATCCCACACCCAAGTGACGGTGGTGGAAGATTAATCTTGTTCTGAATTGGCCAGAATAACTGGATCATCTTAGAAAAATAAAGTGCTTAAGCAGTTTGAAAAACTAACATTCAGTAATCCCTCTGAAGCTCTAGATCAAGTAAATTGAATTAAAAAGGTGGGAAATATAATTCATATTTGTTATATGATGGCAGCAAAATGCAACAACATTGATATTTTAAGGCAATAGGTAGTAATCAATTCACAGCACACTAACATTCACGAAGCTTTATCCACAATATGTATCTGCTCAAGGGTGCATATTAACTGATACAGATAAAATGAGTATCTGAGATTCATTTTCTGAAATGGTCACAATTTTAAGAAAGTAAAATTATAGAGGGAAAAATGTTTAAACCAACCCAAAGGAAATTCAGGTTTCTGGAAAAGAAGAATAGGAAGAAAAGAAGAGGGAGAAGGATAAAAGATCAGTGGTTTTCTCTGTAGGCTACGGTTTGACTAAAAGGGACTTATAATGGCCTAAATGGAAGAATTATGAAAATAATACCCACCAGAGCTAGCTTAAGCACTAAGGCATCCTTGTATCTAGAAAGAAAATGCCATTGCCCACTGTGTTAGAATTGATGACTTAAGGCCTATTCCTTCCACTAAAAATGTCTCATCTGCATTGACTGCCAAGGGACTAAATTTTATTTATAGGTTACTTGAAACTATATATATTTTATATAAAGATGTATTTACGGTAAGTGACGGAGTGAAGATACATATCCAGACCTGCTGATTATAAATAGTGTTCTCTGCATTGCACCTCATACATCTGTGATCTACTGCCTCTATTTTTGGACAATTGGAAGAGACATGCAAAGAAGGGGATGCGGAGAAGAGTGAGAAGAAATGGAGGGGGGATTGCTTCAGAAAGATGTACCTTAGTAGAGAAAGGTGAAAATGTAATTATACCTAGAAAAAAAAAGTAGCACATTCTCAGACTTTTGTTTCACCTTTCTTCTCCCTCTCCTCCATTTCCATTATACTCTGCGATTTTCGTTTCTACCTCCTCCCCCAAATCCCAAGTTAAATTACAGAATGTGGCAGGAAAGGTCTTAGGTCCTAGGTCTCAGGTCCTCTTTAACACTTTTGAATGACTATAGCAATGGAATCATGGCACCTGGGAGTCATCATGTGATTGTGTGGGTCAGCCTAGTGTACATGCCACAAAAAGGAGCCCTGATGACATAAGAAATCACACTATTTTTCAATCTCAGATTCCCCAGGAAACAGCCTCAGAGACAAAGATTTGCTTGTGAGAGCTCCGGAGCTAAAATGGCCTTTCAGAATCATACAACCTTTGGGCCAGGGAGTTTTTAAATACTTTATCAGACTATCATTGGTTGTGGACTATCCTCAAGGAAAGAATATGACTTAGGCAAGTGATTGTCTTTTGTTGAAAGCAATGCCAAGCGAGGAAATTGGTCAAGGGTAATGTATCAACATTAGCAGCAGCTGATGAGTCAGTTCCCTGACCTGAAAAGGGGATCTGGGCAGTGCACTATAACATCCAAACTACAATCTGGATTTCCTCAGTGAGGCAAATCATGCTCACGAGTATAGTATAGCGGTAGGTGAATTGGTTATGACTAAATTAATTCTTCAGGATTTAAACACTTATAGCATGGACACTAATGACTGAAGTAGTTTATTTTTTTGGACACCCCACACCCGCCTGCTGTAGGAGTTCAGTGTATTCATTCCAGACATTGAAAAGTTGTTAATTGCAAAGGGTGGCTAGAGATTTATTTTGCATTTGCCTAGGCAAATCATAAATTTACATGGGATGACTGACACTGTTTCCCAGGAATGACCCACCTAGGCAAACCCAGAAAGTATAGTTTTTATGTTCACAAAATTAAACTCCAAAAGACATCTTGTTCCACCTGTAATCTGCTGTTTTTGTCCCCTCTGTTACTCCTAACTAAGTGACCATCCAGCCTGTGCAGGTGCAATTCCGGAGTTAAGAAGGTTATAATCTCCAGCCATAAGTCATTCCATGTTGGGACAGATCCAACTGCTAGAATGTTAGCTCAACATAATGACAGACCATTCATTTATAATTTTCATACATTGATCTTAGTTTTCTTTTTAGGGACCATATTATACATATTTAATTATTCTGCATGTTATCCCTTCAGATAGTTGAAGACAGCTCATGACTTAAAACATAGTTTAAAATCCTCTCATCATTTTAGTCATTCTCCTTAGAATATATTCCAATTTGACTATGGCCTGTTACAGAGTGATATTCACAGTAGAATAGAAACATCAGGTTTCATCTGAATAACAACAAATTCGGGTGCTACTTTTTTATTAAGGCAGATTGAAGGTGATATCAGCCCTTTAGGCTGCTACATTACGATGGCTGAACCACAACTTTTCACAAAGTTTGTGTCCTCGTTCATATCCTGTGCTGTTATTTCAGGATAGGGTTCACCTGAGGAACTGGTGTTTTAATTTTTTTCCAAAGTTTAACATTATGTAGTTATATACAATATAACTTATTATATATAAAAATATATTATCTATAATATATAACTACATTATATCTATATAATGTATTTATTGTTTGTCCAACATGATATAACATTTAAGCATGGATATTGGATAGCATTCGTATTCCCTCCAAGTGTTCCTTTTTGCCTTTTCAGTAAGTTAGAAACGCCTTACAGGCATAGTTCCTATTGACCACTTTCTGAATAACGTGATTAAAAAATGATTAAAAAAATTTTCTCATTTCATCATGTATCAGTTTTGCCATTTTTTTCTAAAAATATCCATTTTATCTGTTTTCAAATATGTTTGCATAGAGTTGTTTATTTGACACTCTTATGTTTTAAAATTTCTACTAAATGGGCACAAAAATAGAAAGAATTAATAAGACCTACTACTTAATAGCACAACAGGGTGACTATAGTCAATAATAACTAATTGTACATCTTAAAATAACTTAGAGTGTAATTGGATTATTGGTAACTCAAAGGGTAGATGTTTGAGGGGATGAATACGCTGTTCTCCATAATGTGCTTATTTCACACTGTATGCTTGTATTAAAATATCTCATTACCCCATAAATGTATACATCTACTATATATTCACAAAATTAAAAGTCTACTGTATTTTAACTATGACCCCTTTCACCTAGCAGTGATTTTCCTGCCTTGTCTTTGTTTTACTTGATTATTCATTGTGTATGTTTCCTATTTTATTAGCTTTTCAAAAAAGTAGCTTCTGAATTTGTTTATCTTCTCTATTGTTTTCTTATTACTTATTTCATAAATGTGTTGCCTTGTCGTTTATTTCCTTCCACTTATTTAGGTTAGCTTCCCTCCTCCTTTGCTACTTTCTATAACTAAATACTAGGCTGATCAATTTTCAATCTTATTTTAAAAATATATTTATTTGTAATATTGCTAGAATTTCCTTCTAGACTCTCTTTAGTGCCATACTAAAACATTTGGTATAAAGTGTTTTCATGAAGTCTAAATATTCCAAGTTTTTGATGATAAATTTTGCTCTGACGAATTCTATATTTAAACTGTGTTTTTTAGATTCCAGGCAGATAAAATTTGGAAGTGGGGAAGTCATTGCATTTTTATCAGTTACTTTTGAGACATTTTATGTGGTCATTTTTTTTAAATGAACCATTCCTTCTTGAAAAGAATATATATTTTCCAATTGCTTTGTGCAGGGCTTTATATATGCTTCCACTTAAGCTCATTAACTCTGTTGTTCAAATACTTTATATTAGGCTGGGTGCAATGGTTCATGTCTGGGATTCTAGAACTTTGGGAGACCAATGCGAGAGGATTGCTTGTGACCAGCCTGGGTAATATAGTGAGACCTTGTCACTACAAAAAATTTAAAAATTAGCTGGGCATGGTGGTGCATGCCAAAGGTCCCAGCTACTTGGGGAGCTGAGGTGATATGATCATCTGAGTCCAGGAGGATGAGGCAGCAGTAAGCCATGAAGGTGCCACTACATTCCAGCCTGGGTGACAGAGTAAGATCCTGTCTCAATACAAAACAAAATAAAATACTCTATATCATCACCTTACTTTTTTTTTTTTTTGTATTCTGCATCTACAAGTTTTAAGTGAAGGTACATTAAATTTTCCACTATGTTTATATTTGTCAGTGTTTTTTTATTAACCTGGTCAAATGTATTTGGATATAATTTAAAGTTTTCATTTGGCTACATTTCACTTCAGATTTATTATATTCTGTTGATGAAAGTCTATTTTGTTTTTTATTACATCTTACTTTTAATTCAAATTTCCCGGGTGCTTTTGTTTGTTTCAAACTTTCTATGTTCTAGGTATGACTATAGTTTAAAATTTTTTCTATATCTATTCACATACAAACACATAGGCTCAGTTGAACTAATTATGTAAAATAATATAGTTGGTTATAGAACTGTAGAAAATTTGTTTAATTTCATCACATTGAAGATAATCCTCCACTGTCTTCTGGTCTATATTGTTGCTGATGACACATAAACTGAATTGATATTTCTTTTTAAGTATTCTGTCTTAATTTTGTTTGATTGATTTTAATATTATCGCTTTTTCTTTGGTGATCTTTAGTTTATCTACAAGGTGGCTTTGTGGAAATTTGCTTTTGTTTATTTCGCAAATAGACTTTTTCTATTTGAATCTTAAGACCTTCTTGTTCTTTATCATTTTGAATATTTTTTCTTCCCCATTTTATCTATTTTCTTTTTTTGAAAATTCTATCAGGCCATTTTTGGAATTCCCATTTTGTATTAGTCACAGTTTTCCAGAGAACCAGAGAACCAGAACTAATAGCTTATATATTTATATATGGAAAGAGAGAGAGAGAGAGATTGATTTTAAATATTGACCCACACCATTGTGCTGTCTGGCAAGTCTAAAATTTGCAGATGAGGCCAACAGTCTAAAAATTCCAGCAGGCATTAATGCTGTAGTTGTGAGTCCAAAGGCAGTCTGGAAGCAGAATTCCTTCTTTGGAGGACCTCAGTCTTTTCTGTTAAGGCCTCAACTGATTGAATGAGGTCCAAGGGTGATCTATTTTATTCAAAGTCTACTGATTTAAATGTTAATCAGATCCCCCCCAAAAAATACCTTCACAGCAATATCTGGACTGGTGTTTAACCAAGCAACTAAATACTGTAGCCTAGCCAAATAGACACCATAAATTAACCATCATACATTGTATCTTTTATAGAATATATAAAAATATATAGGAATATTACTCATTGAATATTTAATATGCCTTTATTTTGATTTGCTACATTTTATATGACTTTCGCAGATACAACTTCCAGTTTATTAATTTTACTTTCAGCTGTGTCTAATCTGTAGTTGAATTTTTGCATAGATTTTTTAATTGTATTGACTACAGTTTTTATTTCAAGAAATTTTATTTGTTAGTTTTAAAAATAAACTTCTTTTATATTATAATCACTTAGTATTTATAATCTTTATTGCTACATTGTCTCCATTTTAAAATTATGAATTATTTAAGTCAGTGCAGTCTTGGTTTCAATTTCACACAAGAATTTTTTTTCCCACTGAGGCCTGGCTAGGTGGCAAACTTTAGTGTTGACTTTTGCTCCAATTAGCAAAAGTTTCATGGCTCCCTTCTTCTAGGGAGCAGGCTTTTTAAAGTTCTAGCTTTATTCAGTAGTGACTCTTCCTGCTTTCTGATCTGTATTGGCCTATAAAGCCTGACTCCACCCAAGTACCCTATAAAACATGTATCTCCTGTCAGTTATATCTTGTCATGTATGGCATCAGCTCATGTTATCCCCAGGCTTTGAATGTCCTTGTTTCTTTCAAAGATTTCTATTTCGTACCTTTGATTCAGCTCTTTGCTACTTTTAAAATTGGGCTTGGAACAGAGCTATTAGCATGACTAAAGTAGGTGAGACATGGCTTAGCAGCTGCTATTACTTAAAAAGCAAAAGGAGCCTTAGAGATTTTAGTTGACAAAAAGCTCAATATGAGTCAATAATATTTGTTGACACCTTTTAGAAAAAGTGCCTCTTTGAGAGCAGAGAAAAAAAATCTACTTTTGCTATCACCATACCAGCACACCAATTAGAAACAGTAACTTTGTGTTGCATGAATAAACAGTAATACTAACAAAAAAGAAGATGTTGAGAGAAGATGTTGACATGATAGTGTATATTTTGCAGGGAAATACCATCTGATTAGGATAATGAGGTGATTATCAGATAACTAAAGGATTGTCAAATAGAAGATGGGTTAGGACTGTTCTGTGTGGTTCAAGGAAACAGAATCATATCAATTTGGTAAAAGTTGTAGGCAGATCAATTTGGACCTAAAATAAGATATTTTTCACATTTTTTAAGAAATAAAAATGGAATGACCTGTTTTTATGATATTCAAGGACTCGAACACTACTTATCAGAAATATAGTTGGTTATATTAACCATAAACAAAATGAGCAAGATGACATTTAAGTGTCCTTACAAACTGGGGGTCCCAGGATTTCATGGTTAAGAAGGGTCAAGTTGGATCATCATCTTCCTTAATTCTACTACAACTTAAAGTTCTCTTTATTGTTGACATAACTATGTCAGACTATTGATTTGAGCTGAAATTGCAGTCAACTCAAAAGCCAATTTTTTTACACATACCTATGCTAAGCTTGACATACGTTCTATTTGTCATTATTCTAAATTCCTGAAAACTTAAAATTTCAAGTCTCCTATTCAGCATGTGATGTGCTTATCCACATTCCTGTTACACACATCATCTCTGTGTTTAATATTCCCATACAATCCATTGACAGAAACATTGATCCTTATAACATGCCTTAAGAAATTTCCTCCAGGTAAACTCAGCTTTATTAACATTCTATTCATTGTTCTCTGTCTGTCATCAATGGTATCATGGCATATATTCTCCAATATTTTGCTACTCCATTCTTCTAATTAATAGTCTTTTAAAATGGTCAAGAAAGTATAAGTTTAATTTCACATAACATAATTTTTGGTGACTCTATCCTGGTTCATGGTGATCACCACTTTCTTTTCTCACAATCAAGTTAGCAATTTTGTCTATAATATTTTTCAAGAATTGACAACAGGCCCTACATTTTATGGTTAGAACATCCAACTCCTTACTCTTTTTACAAAACTAGGGCTGAATTTTCCCATATTTAGTCCTCGGGTCCATTATCCTTGATCTTTCAAAAAATCCCAAGTAAGTGTCATTGATTTTATCAGCAGGCAGTGGGGCATATTTCACCTGGCCAACAGCAATTGACCTCACTTAAGTTAGTCAGATGGTGTCATGATTTCTATGTTTTGAGCTTCATCTTTTGCAATCTTGAAATCTTTCTCCTTTACCCAGCTGACAATTGCAAAATAGGAAAAATGTGATACCATTCTTTTCGTCTGGGTCTAACTCTTCCTTATTCTTTCACTTAATATGAATAAAACTAATATATACAATTTTTTTGTCCTTAGAAATTATTCCCAGAGTTGACCTAATTCTATAGCAAGACTTCAAAACACTATTGTGGAGGTTTGTGCTATGTTTAAATATTTTTCCTTTATCATATCTACTTCTTAATTTGCTTGTTCTACAAAAACATGTGCTTTTTTTTTTTTTAATTCATGAGGAATGTTATCCAATTTGCATTTGTTCTCTCAGAGGTTAGTTAAAATAACAGCAACAACAACAGAAGGAAGAAAGAACAGAGGATTTTATTTGATTCATTAATTATTTATTCACACAAATTAATCATTTAGTGGATGTCCTTTTAAAAGAAATAATCATTTTGCAAACCAGTATTAACACTTATATAATGTCACACAGGTGACTCCTGCTCACCTCCTCTAGATTATGATTACTAGCAAAGAGCTCAAATCAGCAGAGTGAGAGGCAATACAAGAAATTTGTCTTTGTTTTCCTGTATTTTGAAGCAAAAACTCGACATGTTGCTACAACATAAAGGACATTCCTCATATTACTTTTATAGTCATATCCAATAGCAAATAAAAGTTGTTTGGGGGCACAAACCAGTGATCAAGAAGTAGAGAAGTAGATATTGAACCCGTAATAAGTTCAAGGCAGTTTCTAGTCCTGTGGGAAATTCATAGATATATAAGTTCCAGTGAGTTAATGACACCAGAAGCTAATGATAAGCCATCCAACATCTTTGTTCCATGTAACCTCAGACTAAATTTAGTCGCTTTTTAAAATGCATCTGTCAGAGTAATTTAACATGTGATTGGTAAACAGAGAGGGGCCTATTGCAGATTCAGAATAAATCAGTAACAATATTGGACAATAGTCCCCACTATGTTTCAAAAGAATGTCAGTAGTTTGCATTTAACAAACTACTGATTTTGGACAACAGCACCTACTCTCTGCTATCTGCAATCACAGAAGTCAATAGAGAAAATGGCACAGGCTATGAAAAGACTAGTTATAATAGGAGGCCCACTGCTATGCTGGGGCACAGCCACAGAGCAACTGATTGCACAAGATCATCTATTCAGCCTTTAATGAGCTGTTGTTAGCGCTTCGTTCAACCTTCCACTAGTCACCAATTATGTTTACAGTTAGCGGTTTGAGTACATATTTACTTCTCTAGAGAGAGGGTTCATGTGCAGAATGGTGGTGAACAGTTCACAGTATGGCCCTCATGCCCTCAATGTGCAGACTCCAGGAGACCCTGCAGTATAGTTAGATTTTCACTAGAAAAAAAGGGAAAGAAAAAAAGAAGGAAAAACAATATGGGGAAGAAGGCTGGAAAGCAGAGCAGAGTAGGAGTGGAGGGTGTGCACTGCCTTTGCTGTCCCTAACAGGAAATTACAAATCCAAAAGGCTTGCCCTGTGACTAAAGAAGCATTTGTTCCTGACCATTAAACCTGGCTTGCTCACCAGAAGGATTTTACAGTCCCTTTGACCATGTTGAAAATTTGAGGATGGAGATAATCCCTTTCACTCCTGTTTTTGTTAGTTTGCAAAACCGTTTGAGAGATTGAACCTTGGGCATTTGTCAGCGAGGTCTAATGCACATTTTGCTCTCTTTCAATGGGTATTCAGCAGATTTCAGATCTATAAAAATTCTACTTAGTTGTTGCCTATTTTCTGATCTTTTGGGGGCTGGGCAGCTCAGCGTTATCTGAGAGGTGCCAGCTGTTGCTATTACAGACAGCATTCAATGGTTCATTTATCTGAATATGTACTGTTACTCCGCAAGATCTCAAGGAAGGAGACTTTGTTGTAATGGTGATGTACTTCTTTTTTGATGGAGCTCTTGAATAAATATCTTTCATAAAAGGCTCTATGAGTGACTGGAAGCATTTCTTATACACATACTGACTTCAGCAGCTGAGAGATATATGAACACCCCTTGTATATCCTTACCCGTACCAAAAAATATATGTTGTTGAAATAGCAAATATCTTTCTAACTGTAGCATTGAATATTACTCAGGTTATGTAAGTTAAAAGCAATAACTACATTCATTAATCTGACTGCAAATAACAAGTTCAATTATTAGATGACTTACAGAATGTGGAACAGAATGTACAAAGCTGATTCAAAAGTATGTGGACTTCATTAAAGCCATTTAGTGTGTTTTAATTAGTAAATTACAGTCTTCTGACCTCATGAATGTTAGAATTTAATACACTTGCTTTTCACAGCAGGGGCCTGAGTTTAATCATCACTTTCATTTAAACTAACACAAGAAATCAAGGCCTAGGGTTTACTTAAGTCACCAAATATTTTTGCTTTAATTCATAAAGTGGAAGTTCTTTAGTCATGCAAATAGTTCTTTATTCATAAAATAGCTATTCTCCCCTCTCATGGATCTTAGCTATTGTCTAATAATTGTCTCTAACACCTATGCCTGTAGATTTAAACATCCTTAGACACTTGGTTTAAAGAAACTTTCAAAAGTTTCAGAATAGGGGGTTATGATTGTGGCATTTTTATAATAAATGTCTGCTTCAGGTGAAATCATTCAAATATCAACTACACAGCAGCAGAAAGAAAAGTGAAAATGATGTTTCTATTATCAATAATAAAAGGCTGGCCAGAGAAAAAGCTAGAGTGGGGAAAAGGAGTTGAAGTCTGAATGGGGCTGAGGGCCAAGGAAGAGTTTGGTAAGTGATGCGCAGTGATAGGAGTCAGGGTTATCAAGATGCAGTGAAACAAGAAATACAGCTACCCACCTGAAGGGCTGGAAAATGCCCTATGAGAGGACAAGCAGTTTTAACTTGACCCTGAAATGTTAGAAGCAAGTTTTAAAACAGTAAATACAAAATTATGAGGATGTAATGGCATAATAAAAACTACTAATTTAGAAAGAAGAAAAACCTGCTGAATAGGCAAAAATCTAAATTGCTAAATATATTATAGAAATGTCATTTCACTCTTAGCATATGCAAAGTAAACTATCTTTGGCTAATAATAGTGTTCCCAGGTGGTGCCTTACTGGATCCGTTTTAAGAATTGGATGAGACATTTCACAGAATCTCAGATGAGGGAGGGGACATAGCCACTCCCTGTTTTCCATTCTGAACTTGTGCTTATAGAACTGTTTGCCACAGCCCATTTTAAACCCTATTATTTCAAAATCCTTTCTTATATTAAGCAAAGATAAACCCCTAGGATACACAGCAGAAATTCAGTCATTGGTATGAAGAATCTTACTTTAAATGAGGAAAACAGAAAAGTGATAGAATTTATGACCATGAGAGAAATGATGCACAGAGTGCCCTGGGTTACAGAAAAGGGACATTTATGTATCTCAATCTGAGCAGTCATGGAAAGGACATAGTAAGAAGAGGTTTTCTGGGGATGACAACATGTGAGCCGAACTTTTAAGAATGTGTAGAGGTTAACCCAGTACAAGAAGCAGGAATGAGTGTCCCAACAAGGAAAATAATATATTCAGAGGCCTAGAGATCAGAGGGAGATTGTTGTGGTGAGTGAACATATAATGTACTACTCTAAACAGGGAGGCCAGATACCTTTCTGAAAATGCTTCTGCTTTTTAAATACAAAAATATCTATTATGGCTCGTCCATGCATGAGCTCCTTCTCTTCCCTCAAGTCGCTAAGAATTGGAGGTAGGAGCAGGGTGGAGGAGAGCCAGGGAAATCTGACATTGCTATTGAACCTTGAGTGAACACGATACTTGGCATGTCGCTGGACTTGTCCGTAAAGACCAAAACCCAGGAACTTGACCAACTTTCCTCAAAGGAGCAGGTCCTCAACTCTCTGTCACTTCTTCATTATAATGCAGTCCATAGAACCCTGTGCTCGCCACTCCACAAACTCTGGTAGCCACTTGCTTCTCAATACACGAAGAGGGTTGACTAGGCACATGTTTCTTTTTAAATGAGACACCCAAAAGTGACACAAGACTCCAGCCACAATGAGACCAGCAATTAGTTGGAGAACAAAATAATAAGAATGTACTTATATTTGTCTCCAGTGTTTTCTTTTTACCTTTTAAATTTATCTGATCTATCTGGTCTTGACCTCAGGCCTACCTAACTTATTCCTTACCTGCAGTCTAAGCAAATTCTTCTGTACTAAGATGGTTTTGTTTCTGCTTCTGATCAGGTCTGACATAAACTCTTGAGGCATACATTATTATTTTAGTTTTAGGCTTTAAACGTTGTAAATGCCAAGATATTTTGGGGCTTTTTCTCATCCCTAGTCTTGCAATACACTCTACTATTAATAGACAGAAAACACACTGAGGGCATACTATGTGCCGGGCACCCTTCTAGGTGCTTTCCACGTACAAACGCATTCATTTCTGATAATCACCTAAAATTTATCTGCAATCGGTACCCATGCTTTAATATCTAAAAAGTAGTTTAAAAGCTAAGGAATGTGCAGAAAGTCACACAGCTAGTCAGTGGTGGAGCTGGGGTGCACATCCAAGCAATCTGGTTTCACTGCCTGTACTGTTAATCATGACACTGCACTGCCTCGGCCACTTTTCACTGCACTTAAGTGTACTAAATTGAGCTTGTATAATTTAGAAAGACTATTCATTTGTTCTCTCCACTTAGGACATTTATTGTAACAATTAATTGATTAATAAATATTTAATGAGCAACATCTATGTGCCAGGCTCATAGATACATGGGGAGAGAAATCACATGGTTGATGTTTTTATGCAGATTAAATTCTTATGGCAGTAATTGAAATGAAAGAAGATCATGTGAGTTGGGATGTATAAGAAATCCAAAGCTCATCAGATTCAATGTACACAAAGCAGAAAAATAAGGCTCAAATAAAATTTGTTAGAAATATGTACACACACACAACTGATCTAAAGTTATAAACAGACCAGTAGAAAATGAGAACTAAAATCAGGTCTCTATTTCACTAATCATTACTTACACACTGTGAAGAGCATAAACAATGTCTTTATTAAAGAAGAGCTTCTGTGTATGGTCTCAGCTATACAAATATATAAAAAATACTCAAAAGGAGATTAGAATTGAGGTGTCAAAATACTCTCAATGTTTGCTTTCTATATTTAAATAATTTTAAAAGCTATCTCTTATCCTCTCAAAAATATCTATATTAAGAATATACTAGTAGAATGAAAGTATAAACTGAAAAAATTTGCCTCAAAAAAGAAAAACAACTGAATGCTTAGAAACACTATGTGTGCCATTACAAAATTTCTTCGAGTTTGATTTCATGCTCTACTCAAGTTCCTCTAAAGTTGGAGCCCCCCTATTATCTTTTGGCTCACTCTAGAACATCTGAGAAATGCAAGGGATTTCTCAGACTACACCTACGTGACATCCATGATTCAAGCTGACTGTAGGAAAATGAAAGTGATTCCATATTTAGGAGCTCAGCTTTGCAGGGTTTCTCCTGAATAATGGCTTTAAATTATGCCACATGCTATGGAGAGCTTGCTTTTTCTTAAGAAAAGATGACTTATCAAACTGTGCTATCTCTTTAGTAAACTGACTAGGCAAAAGAACTCAACAAGGATAAAAATAGTTTCAGGGCTGGAAAGACCACACATATCTCACAAATTCGTGGAAAACTATGTGTCCTCATATTATTTAAAGAAGAATTGGCATTAGATCAATTAGATCGTCTCTCACTTTTTCTTTAGGGTTCAGAAATTGTTCTAGGGGCACGAAACACTTTACTTAGAAATCTTTTAATTCAATCTTGTAAAAAAAAATTAAAACATAGTTTTAACTCTTTGGCTTTCACTTAAGCTTAAATTACAATATCTACAGTACTTAGCAACTACTCATTTATTGCCTTAGCAAATGAGATGTAATAGATTTGCTAGGTAAATAAAAGAAAGTAGAAAAAGATAAGTTTTATAAAGAAATTATTTTATATAAAATTATTGTAAAAAATATTGGTTTTAGGGCATCAAAACCAACCAAGCAACTCTAGCTCTAGTGAACTAAGCATTCTAAATCTGTGTTTATTTATTCAAAAAAATTGACAATCTCCCAAAATATTTCATATAGAATAATTTGTAACAATAGTCTATGACATAAGCAACATGAGAGTTATCCTGAGCCTATGTACCTCATGGAGTGGTTGTGAGAATTAACGGAGTTGTTCCAAGTAAAGTGCTTTCCTGCTGTTTTGTTATATATTTTTAGACAATAAAGCAATATGCTAAAAGAAACGTGATTCAGAATGATGATCATGGGCCTTGTCAGGATAATTATTAATCACAAATATCTATTGGCCTGTCTTGAGGAGCTGCAAGACCAAAGATTTAATTATGCTCATTATGCTACTTGGTACACTATGTACCTTGACTAACTTAGAAAAGCATTTTTAATAACAAAAGTTGGAACACAAATAATATTCCCATAAAGTTTAATTCACCTTAAGCAAAATCAGTTGCCCAAGATTTAACATGAGCTCTGAAAATCCATTCTCCACAATAAGATACAATAACGCTTTTAAGACTCAAATGGAATCTTCTAACCCACTGATTAAACATTTCACAGCTTGCCATTCGTTTTAGGTTAATGCTCTAAGACTTTACTGGGTTCTACAATGCCCTGCCTGGTCTGTAACCTAAATTCTTTAGCCTCACCTAAAGGCATGCCCTCCCTCCCATCTGCATTCAGCTCCACTGGGCTCTTTTCAGCTTTTCAAGCACACCTTGCTCCCTTCTTCTCCAAGGCCTTCACACATATCCTTCCCCCATCCCTACTCATTTTGCTTAGTCATTTTATTGATAACCTCAAAGAGGTCTCCAAAGTAGGATGTGAGCATTCTTTGAGGAATATGAGACAATTCTTTTGGGGACTGGAAAAAAACCTTAGAGCTTTTATTCTGCTTACTTTTACCTAAACTTAAAAGTAAATTATGCTTTAAAGATATTGAAATAGCCATCTAGGTAGGAGTGTATACAATTTATGCATAAACATATACATATTTGGAGTATATTGTATAAAAAAGTTTGTAATCCACTGCTTCAGATCTCAGCTCCACTGTCATTTCTTCATGAATGTTTTGGTTTTTTTTGTTTTTTGTTTTTTGTCTTTTATTTTTTTTATGTCAGACCAAGAGAAAATCTCACCTTGTAGACCCACATAACACCAGACACTTCTGGGAAGCATTATGCTAGTTATAATCATTTATTTCTGAGACTATTTGATTAATGTCTGTTCTCATTCACTGGACTCTCTCATGAGGGCAGGTATTGAGGTCTGTTTTTTTTGTTTTGTTTTGTTTTTTTTGAGACAGAGTTTTGCTCTTGTTGCCCAGGCTGGAGTGCAATGGCATGATCTCGGCTCACTGCAACCTCCACCTCCTGGGTTCAAGTAATTCTTCTGCCTCAGTCTCCCAAGAAGTTGGGGTTACAGGCGCCCACCACCATGCCTGGCTAATTTTTTTTGTATTTTTAGTAGAGATGGGGTTTCACCATGTTGGCCAGGCTGGTTTCGAACTCCTGACTTCAGGTGATCCACCCACCTCTGCCTCCCAAAGTGCTGTTATTACAAGTGTGAGCCACTGCACTCGGCCCTATTTTTGATCATGTTTTACCTTCATAATACCTAGCATGTTGCCTGGCTTATCACAAGTACTTGATAAGTATTTAATGTGATGTATACAAGAGGGTGTGTGTGTGTGTATATGTGTGTGTGTGTGTGTCTGTGTCTGTAAAACATACATACATATATATACATACATATGCATATAAAAATTAGCCAAGATGAAAGCTCTGTAAGTAGAGATTTGCATTTTTTTACCTCTATATTTCTAACCAAAGTACTTTCTCCACTTCTCTAGTTCCTTTTCCATTGATTTCAGTTGACTATCTTTGTGTCATATGTTTATCTGCCACAGATTTGTTAGGACAAAGCTCAAATATCAGCTGGGTCCATGATGCCCACAGTAATTGCAAAACTGTTTGCTGTAAAACAGATTAAGAGGTCCTACTCAGCAAGCAGTGAGCCAAGTTCTTCCCTGGTTGCTTCAGGAACATGTGGCAGGGCTCTGTAATGTGATGGATAACATATGAAGTGCAAGGGGCCGCCCATATGCTGCTGCAATTTTCCTGTACAGGATGTGCTCTTTGGACTTAATAATGGTGATTTAGGACACTGGTGAAAATTCCAGCTCTCTTTAGATCTCATTCAGAGTCCCCAGGCAGGGGGTGGCAAATGTATAATCCCACACTGCAGGAAAGGAAATGAAAGAAGGGGAAAAAGACCTCCAGGACTGACTTATATTAGAATTGATCAGATCAGCTTGTACTACCTGTTACAGAAAGGAACAGATATCACTGCTGAAATCCTAACGTTGAGTAAAATGCAGAAAGTCACATAAAATCCTTCTAATTTGGGGTGGGGTCAGAGGAAGGAATGCTATTTATTTCCATCTGAACACTTATTGATACATATAACCAACAATTAAATTAACAAAACACATATTTGGGATTAGGTGAACAGCATGACATGGTGAACAGCAGTGTACATAGGAGGATGCCTGGATGTCGGTGGACAGAAAGTGTGATGTGATGGTGATATTGCTACTAAATGGTATGAATTAAGTCAGGCTTTATTGATAGGAAAAATGGTTCAAAGTGCTACATTTTTTCTGTGTCTCAATACTACATTCAACAGTATTAATCTTCTACACAGTGACCAACACAGAATGCTACATTTTAAAAAGATGCAAGCCAACCAAAAACTTGACAGAAGAGAGGACCAGTATGATGAGATGACACAATACCATACCTGAAATGAAATGGTTTACAAAAAAGCAAATCATAATCAGGACATAATCACAGGAAAAGAAGGCTCTGGAAAAATGTGGTTGGTTGTCTTAAGTAGAAAAATGTGTCGTGTGAAAGGAGCATCATCAGGTAGAGAATGAGGCATATTCTTTAGATGCTTAATGAGCAGCACTGGGACCTGTGGATAGATGCTTCCAAGATGAGTTTAACTTCATATAAGGAAGGATATTCTAAGGACTCTAATGATTGAGTAGGCAGTCTCAGGAAGGAGGTTATATGCGGAGCACTGGAGGTGATCAATCTTAGCCCAGATTAGTGGTTTTCAAATACTTTGGATTATTAGAATCACCTGGGGGAACTTCCTAACCAGGCCCAGACCCAAGTACCAGGGTGGTTCTAACGACTAGGCAAGTTGTGGGGACCCAGTGCTAGATGATCATTCTGTGATTGTACAGACATAATTCAAGCAGGGAGGGGAAGCTGATTTCTAAGAGTCCCTTTATCACTGAGACTGTGATTCTGTCTTTCTCCATAACTTATAGGGATAGTAATACTAAAGGAACTGAAAAAAAGGAAAAGGGGCATTTCTGAAGTTGAAGAAGATTTCAGTGGAAATGTTAGTTTCCTCAGGCGCTCCTATGTTCATTACTTTCTTCTCTGGTTATGTTCCCTAATGCTGCAATCATTGGTAACAAGGAGGAATAAAGATCCTTGCTAATCAGTTCATCCAAATCATGTGGTAATTACTCTCCTTATGAGAATTACATTATGACTCCAAAATACATGGCAAAAATATATTTCAAAAAAAATAGAGAAGAAAACGTAAAACAGAAATAAGTAAGGAAAGAACTACTTTAAATAAGATATACTTAGGATATCCTGGAAACATACACCTCTCCAAGATGAACCCAGAAAAAATTAAATCCCTAAACTTATCAATAATGATTTTGAAACTGGATCAGTAATAAAAAGCCTACCAACCAGAAAAAGCCTATGGATCCGATGGATTCACAGCCAAATTCTACTAGATATATAAAGAAGAGCTGGCACCATTCCTACTGAAACTATTCCAAAAAATTGAAGAGGAAGGACTCCTCCCTAACTCATAGAATGAGACCAGAATTATCCTGATACCAAAACCTGGCAGAGACACAATAAAAAAAGAAAACTTCAGGTCAATATTCTTAATGAACATAGATGCAAAAATCCTCAACAAAATACTAGCAAACCAAATCTAGCAGCACATCAAAAGATTAATCCACCGTGATCAAGTAGGCTTTATTCCTGGGAGGCAAAGTTGGTTCAACATACACAAATCAATAAATGTTATTCGTCATAAAAACAGAACGAAAACAACAAAAAAGAGATCATCTTAATAGATACAGAAAAGGCTTTTGTTAAAAGTCAACATCCCTTTGTGTTAAAAACCTTCAACAAACTAGGCATTGAAGGAACATACTTCATAATAATAAGAGCCATCTATGACAAACCCACAGCCAACATTACACTGAATGGGCAAAAGCTGGAAGCAACACCTTTGAAAACCAAAACAAGAGAAGGATGCCCTCTCTCATCACTCCTACTCAACCTAGTACTATAAGTCCTCTCAGAGCCATCAGGCAAGAGGAAGAAGTAAAAGGTATCCAAATAGGAAGTCAAAGTATCTCTGTTTGCAGGTGATATGATTCTATATCCAGATAACACCATAGTATCTGCCCAAAGTTTACTTTATCTGATAAATAATTTCAGCTAAGTTTCAGGATACAAAATTAATGTATACAAATCATCAGTAGCATTTATATACACCAACAACATCCAAGCTGACAGGCAAATCAAGAACACAATCCCATTTGCAATAGCTACAAAAAGAATAAAATATCTAGAAATATAGCTAACCAGGGAGGTGAAAGACCTCTACAACAACAATTACAAAGCACAACTCAGAGAAATCAGAGATGACACAAACATATGGAAAAACATTTCATGCTTATCAAGAGGAAGAATCAATATAGTTAAAATGGTCATACTGCCCGAAGCAATTTACAGATTCAGAGATATTCCTATCAAACTACCAATGACACTCTTCACAGGATTAGAAAAAACTATTTTAAAATTCACGAGAACCAAAAAGGAGCCCAAACAGCCAAGGCAATCATAAGCAAAAACGAAACAAAACAAAACAGAAAACAAAACAAAACAAAACAAAAAACAAAGCTGGAGGCATCATGTGATCTTCGACAAAGTCAACAAAAACAAGCAATGGGTAAAGGAATCCCTATCCAACAAATGGGGCTGGTATGCAATAAATGGGGCAGAAGATTGAAACTGGACCCCTTCTTTACACCATATACAAAAATCAACTAAAGACAGATTGAAGACTTAAATATAAAACCTAAAGCTATAAAAATCCTTGAAGACAACCTAGGAAATACCATTCTGGACATAGGACGTTGCAAAGATTTCATGACGAAGACACCAAAAGCAAATTGCAACAAAACAAAAATTGACAAATGGGACCTAATTAAACTAAAAAGTTCTGTGAAACGTAAGAAACTATCAACAGAGTAAACAGACAACCTATAGAATGGGAGTAAATATTTGCAAAGTATGCATCTGACAAACATTTGATATCCAGAATCTATAAGAAACTTAGACAAATTGAAAAGCAAAAACCAACCCCATTAAAAAGTGGGCAAAGGGCATGAACAGATACTTTTCAAAATAAGACATATATGTGGCCAATAGGCATATTAAAAAAAGCTCAATGTCACTGATCATTAGAGAAATGTAAATAAAAACCACGAGATAATATCTCACACCAGTCAGAATGGCTATTATTAAAAAGTCAAGAAATAATAAATGCTGGGGAGGTTGCAAAGAAAAGGGAACAATTATATACTGCTGGTGGGAGTATAAATTAATTCAGTCATTGTGGAAAGCAGTTTGGTGATTTTTCAAATAACTTAGATCTACCATTATTGGATATACACATAAAGGAATGTAAATCATTCTACTGTAAAGACACATGCATGCTTATGTTCACTGCAGCACTGTTCACAATAGCAAAGATGTGAAACAACCTAAATGCCCAATAATGGTAGAGTGGATGAAGAAAATGTGGTATGTATACATCGTGGAATACTACAAAGCCATAAAAAAAGAATGAGATCATGTTTTTTTGCAGCAACACTGATAGAGCTTCAGGCCATTAACCTAAGCTAACTCACACAGGACAGAAAACAAAATACTGCATGTTCTCACTTACAAGTGGGAGCTAAACAATGAGTACACATGGACACAAAGAAGGGAACAACAGACACTGGGGCCTACTCAGGGGTAGAGGGTGGGAGAAATGTGATAATTGAAAAACTACCGGCTGGGCACGGTGGCTCACACCTGTAATCCCAGAATTTTGGGAGGCCAAGGCAGGTGGATCACTTGAGGTCAGGAGTTTGAGACCAGTCTGACCAACATGGTGAAACCCTGTCTCTACCAAAAATACAAAAGTAGCCAGGTGTGATGGTGCACACTTGTAATCCCAGCTACTTGGGAGGCTGAGGTAGGAGAATTGCTTGAACCCGGGAGGCGGAGGATGCAGTGAGCCGAGATCGTGCCATTGCACTTCAGCCTGGGCAGTAAGAGCAAAACTCTGTTGAAAGAAAGAAAGAGAGAGAGGGAGGGAGGGAGGGAGAAAGGAAGGAAGGAAGGAGAGAGAGAAAAGAAGAGAAAAGAGGAGAGGAGAGGAAAAGAGAAGAGAAAAGGAGAGGAAAAGAGAAGAGGAAAGGAAAAGAAAAGAAAAGAAAAGACTGCCTATTGGATACTATGCTTATTACCTGGGTGATGAAATAATCAGTACAACCAAACACCTGTGACATGCAATTTACTCGTATTACAAACCTGCACATATACCCCTGAACCTAAAATTGAAAATAAAATAAAATAAATTTGGAATATATTTGGCAACACTTGATGACTGGTATGTGAATATGTAATGGATGTGAGGACATACTCTATGAAGCAGTCTGAAACTTCATTGCACATAAAGAACATTTAAGAAGTTTGTTTACATGCATATTTTAAGGCTACACCTTAGAGATTCTGATTTAGTAGGTCTTGAATGAGGCCAGAAATCTGCATTTTGAATAAGCAGAAGGAGCAATTCTACACACTGCATTTAGAAAAAATAATACTTTACATTGTTTTCCAATAAAAATTTTTGCAATGATGGAAATGTTCTACATATGTGCTATTCAATGAGATAGTCTCCAGCCACGTGGGGCTATGCAATACTTAAAAAGTAGCTAGTGCAAGTGAAGAACTGAGTTTTCAATTTTATTAATTTTAATTATTTTAAGTGTGAATGGTCACATGTGGCTAGTGGCTGCCACATTATAGAGTTTAGCTTCAGAATATACTGTATTTTTTTAGGGACAAGAAGCATGCAAAGGTTTTTGCATTGTACCCACCACAGTGAGGAAGCAAGAGAAGCTATACATATCTCCAAAATAGCATGAAATAACACTTTCTGCAGAGTGTTTCCATCCAATCCATGAGTGAATATAGCAAGATGATTTTACATTAGTATTCAGAATTATCAGAGTAAACATGTTTATTCCTATACTAGTCTGTAAATAGCGAGTAATATTATAGTCATAGTGTGAACTAAATGTGCCATCTGTGGTTAACTCCATTTATTTGTACTTGAAATGACTGAATACTGAGCAGTGGGTATGCCATTAGATGATGTGGCAGCCTCACCTGTTAGCTCTATGACTGTTCTGCCTGTGGCTGATCAGATCAGGTACATAAGCCTGGACTAAGTGTTAGAAATGGCTATGTTGTAGGCTTCAAGAGCTCCCCAGATCCACTGACCTCCCTGTTCTAAGCAAACAGGAGGAATGCTGACTGCCAAGAAAGTCACAAAAGAAACTGAGGTTCCAAACTGTCTACAGATGGGCTTAGTGCCAATAAATATTCTAAATCAAAGCATCAATATGTAGTATCCATGCACCAAAAAAGATGACACAGCAGTTCTTCTTCCAAAAAAAAGTTGGATTCCTATGTCAGGCTTAGTGGGAATAAGAAGCCTCATATTCATTGGATCTGTGCTGGGAAGCATTTAGATAAATGCTAGAAAACGCAGAGACAAAAACACACACATATACACGTAGATTCAATAGATGGAGGTTGGCAGGCAAGGGTGGGGAATAGCGGATTTGAATGCAGAAATGAGAGTACATAATCATGTCAAAATAACTCACCCCCAAGCAGAAAAGAAAATGAAAGGGAAGTAGGGCAGGAAAGAAAGAACATTAATGGATCCACCGCCTCCTTTACCCCTAGAGACAAAGGTTCTTTCTGCACATTCACATTAGCATTTTGGCATATGAAAATGAATTCTAGTGCTAGTCTATAATAAATTACTGCTCTCCAAACTAAAATCTTAGGCAAGCTTATGTGGCTGGTAATAAGTGGTCTTAGAGAATTGTTTTTAGAAATTCTATGTTTGGCAGTACACATGCCTTGTGCATGGTTTGGTGTTGGTGAAATTTCATATCCTGCACAGCTTGGTGAAGTCACCTTGTTCCTGGGAGAAACTCCCCTAGAAAACCAGTTCTGGCCAGAAAACAGGAAGAGGGAGGGATTCTGGAACCAACACCTCTAAATCTTTTTCTGATGATGTTAGGATATAGTGAGGACTCAGCACATACATTTGTTTCTTAAGACTCACTTTGTTATCAGAGTTGGGAAACTATTCCCTATTAAAATGTTTCATTAAGCGATCCTCCACATATTATTTTTATAAACACAACTTTGTTTTTCTGTCTATACAGGTGTGTGTGTGTGAATATGTGTATGAATGTGTATGTTTTATATGTGCGTGTGAGTGTGTGTGTACATTATATATATATATATAGTGGCTCTTCACTGGTTCTCTCTCTCTCTCTCTCTATATATATATAAAGTGAAAGCAAAGTGTGTGAGAGTGTGTGTGTATATATACATATCGTATACACACACTTATACACACACACACACACACACACACACACACTTTGCTTTCCAAGGCAGTAATGTTCCTGGATGTCCCAGCCTTGATAAATATCTGTGACCTACAGTTCTGGAAGAAATTGTAGGCTTTGTTCTCCCTCTCAAGGTGCTCCTTGACAGGATCAATTTTGGTTGCCATGGCTTGACCTCCAGCCTACATGTTCCCCCATCCCTGGACCTGTTGCTTACTGTCCTCACTAGGAACACTAGAAAGAGCTTGGGAAAGAGGGGCAACAGCAAAATGAAAATAATTTTAAAAATGAAGAAGATCTTTTTTTTTAAATTTTATTATTATTATACTTTAAGTTTTAGGGTACATGTGCACAACGTGCAGGTTTGTTACATATGTATACATGTGCCATGTTGGTGTGCTGCACCCATTAACTCGTCATTTAGCATTAGGTATATCTCCTAATGCTATCCCTCCCCCCTCCCCCCACCCCACAACAGTCCCCAGTGTGTGATGTTCCCCTTCCTGTGTCTATGTGTTCTCATTGTTCAATTCCCACCTATGAGTGAGAACATGTGGTGTTTGGTTTTTTGTTCTTGTGATAGTTTGCTGAGAATGATGGTTTCCAGCTTCATCCAAGTCCCTACAAAGGACATGAACTCATCATTTTTTATGGCTGCATAGTATTCCATGGTGTATATGTGCCACATTTTCTTAATCCAGTCTATCATTGTTGGACATTTGGGTTGGTTCCAAGTCTTTGCTATTGTGAATAGTGCCGCAATAAACATACGTGTGCATGTGTCTTTATAGCAGCATGATTTATAATCCTTTGGGGTATATACCCAGTAATGGGATGGCTGGGTCAAATGGTATTTCTAGTTCTAGATCCCTGAGGAATCGCCACACTGAATTCCACGATGGTTGAACTAGTTTATAGTCCCACCAACAGTGTAAAAGTGTTCCTATTTCTCCACATCCTCTCCAAAAAAAAGATTAAAAAAAATATTGATACAAGTTCTTAGACTCTTCTAATTTTAAAATTTCATGCCACATTTTTCATATTCATTCTCATGTTTTCTTAATATCTGGATTTCCTTCATTTTTTAAAGATTTTTCCTTAAAAAAACACAAAAAAAACGAATAAGATCACACATATATAATCTGGAGTTTTCAAAATGCTTTTGCATTTGGAAATAAGGATCATACATACATGTTGAGGAGTCTCTGAGTTATCCAGACAGATTCATAGCTGAGGTTAAAGTTTGCTAGAAAAATGTATGTATTACTGACTTTCGTTTTGTATTTTAACATTATACCTACTAAATTATCAGCTTGAGCTGGGTCCTTTGAATCATGAATATGACAAATATTTGTACAAATATTGGGTAATAGTGCTTTTTAATCCAAACATACACCATGCTTCTTAAATTCCTGTCCTATTTATTGATTCAAAATGCAGTTAGAAAGAAGTGTCTGGTTTCCACAGTTAGATTATTTAACACTCACCAACATACTATTAGGATGGATAGAGCAACAGAATCTGCTTAAAACTTTTTGAAATTGTGCAACAGAGGCAATCATTCTTCCTTTTCATTCCTGACTCCATCATGTAAGAGTTGTGCCAAATACTAAATAAAATGAGGAAAAGCAGAGGTTTCTATTAGGTTGGTGCAAACATAATTGCGGTTTTTGCCATTAAAAGCAATGGCAAAAACCACAAGTACGTTTGCACCAACCTAAACAGACGAAGATAAGAGTGTGGAGAATAAACTGTTTAGTAAGTAATCTTGTTTCATTTGAAATCAACATGGGGTCACTAATCCAAATATATATATATATATATATATAATCCAAATATATATATATATATATATAATCCAAATATATATATATATATAATCCAAATATATATATATAATCCAAATATATATATATAATCCAAATATATATATATATAATCCAAATATATATATATAATCCAAATATATATATATCCATATATATATATATATATTTTTTTTTTTTTTCAAGTAGCATCTAGCTTAGTAAGGCTGATGACCAGGAAACAATGTCAGTGCCAAGTACATGGTGTTGGGGGAGTATGAAGGAGTCATTCCTAACTAGTACTGAGGTATCAGCAAGAGGCTTCCTATAGGAAGAGAACTAAACTTGTCTATTATTTATGAGATAGAGTCTTCATCAGGTTATCTGCCTCTCTGAGCCTGACTCCTCACTTGTTACTTTTTTAAAGCCCCTCACAGGTCAAAGACTCCAAGATACTTGATGTAAACATTCACTAAATCTGTTCTCTCCATATTAATCATGCAATGCTTCATCCAGGTGTACAGATAGTATGTCTGAGCAGACCGTGCTTCTAGGTTGAAATTTTGCTCTTATAGCAAGCATACCAAGTCTAGCTTCCTTCACCCTTTGCCTGTGGGCAGGAGTTGATCTCAGATGTCTGGACTTGGCTGTTGGCAGTCATTGCTGACCTCTCCCCAGACACAGTCCAGCTATACGCTGCAGTTGTGCCCCCATCATTGCAGCTTTCTCCTCTTGTGTTAAATCAATAGTTTATGACATCTACAAGGGAAAGCTGTAAATTTAATTTTGTCCCCTGCAGTGCAATTCCTATCTTGTTTGCTGGCAACATAATGAATGTGTTTGCCCTCCAGACCCCCCACCTAGTGGAGCAATTGGAGGATAAAGAAAGAGAAAATAGCAAAGCGCAATGAGGTAGATAGATTAAAACTTGGTTAATCAGAAGCTTAGCTATAGATAGGCAGATGTCTGAACACAAACACACATACACACACACACACACTTCTTTTCAGAAATCCACCAAAGAGGAAATAATAATTAAGGAAAATTTAGATCTATCTGTGCTTTGCAAATTAAGGATGGTCCAGATAGATTGTGTTTAATTATGAGAGAAATGTGAGCAGGGCAGGCTAGTCTTAATGGGTTAGTTTTTCTCTACCCCACAGGCCTCATCTGCTGTCACTCCCCTCTTGTTCTTAATGCTACAAATATGCCAAACTTCTTATCACCAGGGGCCTGCATGGCTGAGCCCTGGAATATCTCTCCCTGGTTCCCTGCATAATTGGCTTCTTCTCATCTTAGAGTTCTCAGTTCCCTTCCCACCCCATCCAGGGTATCCTGATCCCTTTAGCTCTGTTGCATAATCTCTAAAGCCCTTATTACCATCTAAAAACATCATATGTGTGTGTATGTGTGTATTTCCTTGTTCTTTATATGTTCATATGTTTGTTGCAATAGAGAATGCTAATTGTGGTGGGCCAGGGAACTTGTCTATTTTATCCCCTATTCAGCCCCAGTGATTACCATAATACCTGTCATGTCATTGCTCAATTACATGCTGAATCAATGAATGAATGATTGATGTAGTAGTAAATACTCAGAAAGAAAAACTTTCAGCAGCCTTCTGCCATTGGAACAATACCCCAATTTATCTCCTCACAACTGCTCTCTCTCTAGCACTTGCCATGTGCCAGGCACAGTTCTAAGTGCTTTGCATACTAAGATATTTAGTCCTTACACAAAATTAAGGAGCCAGGTACTATTATGATTCCTATTTTTTAGATGAGGAAACTGAGGCACAGAGATCTTCAGTGACTTGTCTGTATCCACAAAATTACAAGTGGCAGAACTAACAAGTGGACCCAGGCAGTCTGGCTCCACAGTCTATGCTCCTAGGAACTATGCTATACTGGCTTTCAATTTGCAGCATTGTTATAAGCAACTGCAGGCATTCAGCACTGAAACAACGATAACACCATTTTGTTATGCCTGTGAGTGTGTGTCTGTGTATATATGCATGTATATATGTACATATATATGTATGCATTTTTTATAATTGCATTGGACCATAGGCTTCAAAAATATATAGTCATTGTATCCAGAAAAAAATCTAGTATATACATTTAGAATCCATTTGCAGAATTTTATGACCTGATGTCACATCATCAAACCTATCCAGCTCACAACTTTTAAATCTAAAATTTTTAGTTTTTTTTTTGTTTTTTTTTTTTTTTTTGAGACGGAGTCTCACTCTGTCTGTCACCCAGGCTGGAGTGCAGTGGCGCGATCTCAGCTCACTGCAAGCTGCACCTCCTGGGTTCACGCCATTCTCCTGCCTCAGCCTCCCAAGTAGCTAGGACTACAGGCGCCCGCCACCAGGCCCGGCTAATTTTTTTGTATTTTTAGTAGAGACGGGGTTTCACCGTGTTAGCCAGGATGGTCTTGATCTCCTGACCTCGTGATCCGCCCGCCTTGGCCTCCCAAAGTGCTGGGATTACAGGCGTGAGCCGCTGCGCCTGGCCCTAAAATTTTTAATTTTTTTAAATTTTAATAGTTTTTTGGGTACAGGAGGTTTTTGGCTACATGGATAAGCTCTTTAGTGGTGAGATGTCAGTGCACCTGTCACCCAAGCAGTGTACACTGTACCCAATATGTAGTCTTTTTGCCCTTATCCCCCCTCCAACCTTCCCAGCTAGAGTCCCCAAAGTCCATTATATCATTCTTATGCTTTTGCATCTTCATATCCAGCTCACAATTTATGTAGTTGTACTGCACATGAGTGAAGACATATTTCTTCATAGTATTATTTGGACTGAGAGGTTATTACACAAATCCACTCATCCAAAAGGATAGAGGAAAAGATGTGACTATGTAAACACAATGAAGTTGAATTGAAATGAGAAAGGATACAGGATCTCATAAAGAGTGTAGCTGGCCTTTCTATCTGATCTATATACATCTCTCTGATTGTCTATCTATCCATCCATTTATCCATCCATCTGTTCATTCTTCCACGCTTCTATCCATTTATCTGTCCTTCCATCCATCTATTGAATTCTTGTCATGGACCAATTACTATATAAGTGATGTAAGTAGAGAATATAAGCAGTAATCAAGGCAGATACTGCCTCTGCCCTCATGGAGAAACATTTTGGCATATGCTATTCTCAACACCTCTCAGCCCACACCCCTTATATACAACATACTATGTATAATAATGTAGGGTTATTATGTACTGCCAATTCAAAAACAGGGCAGAGATAAATCTGTGTGTGAATATGAAGACTGAAAGCTGAGCAGGAACAGAGGCACAGCCATCAAAAGGAGAAGCACTGGGCAAGGGGTAAAAGAGCAGTGAGAGTAAAGTAGCAAGTACTGAGCCAGGGGATGAAAGAAAAGGAAGGGGCCCATGGAAGAGTAGAATTGAAGAAGGAAAACCAACTCTGTCCCAACAGACTCAGCAGGTTGAGCCCATATTCCTAGGATAAGCAGAACTATCCATCTTAAAGTATTTTTTAAAAAATATTTCAAGATATATTGGTGGAAATAAACAAGTTATTCAAATTGTTCCTTTTTCTAAATAATACAAAGAACTCCACCAGCCCATCACCACTGTGTTTGATTTGGGAAAGATATCTTGAAAGCTTTTATTATTATTATTTTTTTTTTACTGACCAATGGATCTGTCAGGTATAAGAGATGATATCCCTGGAGGGGAGCTCTCTCTGTGCCATGGTGGGAGGCAGAACTATAGCTGCATTTCCTGAGAATCAAAGAACATTCATTTACATTTGAAACAAGAGAGAAAAAAAAACCCATCATTTTATTGTCAGTTTTGTTCCAATCAATCCACCCCTTGTCATGATTGCCAAGTTGTCCTTTGATAGAAATTCATCCCAGAGATAAGACATAAAATTTTAATGAGATTATTTTGATGTTTACAACCTCTAAGAATGTCCCCCAAAAGTCCTGTGGAGAAAGGCATTTCCTTCTGCTTTTTCTCAGCATATATCTGCTTCCTAACTTATGGAGTTCTGACACAAATTGATTGGAATACCCCTGGCTATGCAATAGGTGTTTGCTCCCATGGTGTGAGGTGACAGGGTGCAGGGCAGCCTCAATGACCCGAACATCTTCCCCACTGATGCCAACAATTCCACCATTAGTGATTAATGCTTAGGATAAATCAAGGAGCTATTATGGATTAGATATTGGTAGGTACCAGTTTTTAATTTAATTCCCCCAAAGCACAGTACAGTTCATTATATATTTCTAAACACTAAATCTAACTCTGCTATCTTACCATTGTCCTTTTTTAAAATGAATACTATTTTGAGAGAGATAGAGATATAAACCAGGGCTAGGCACATGCCTGTAATACCAGTACCCTGGGAGGCTGAGGCAGGAGGATCATTTGAGGCCAGAATTTTCAGATCACCCTGGGCAACACAGCAAGACACGGTTTTCACAAAAAATTTAAAAAACAATTAACTGCATGTGATGGCACATGGCTGTAGTCCTAGCTACTTGGGAAGCTGAGGTGGGAGGATCCCTTGAGCCCAGGAGTTCCATTTACAGGGAGCTATGATCACGCCACTCCATTCCAGCCTGAGTGACAGATTGAGACCCTGTCTCTCACGATAATAGATAAATAAATAGCTCTGCTCTCTACTGTTGGGAGTCAGGATAAGGCATATGGGGGGAAAAAAAGCAAGGAACACCAAAACTTAAATTGCTTTTCTCCCAAAATGGCTGTAGTGAATCTAGAAGTGGAACAGTTGTGCTTGAGGACCTGTTTCTGTTTTCTAGTTCACATCCTGACCAGAGAAAAAAGTGGGAAGATAGGCTTAGGAAAGGGATGAGCACATGTGCTAAGGTATCCATCATAGGTTAAGCTTCCAGAGCCTGCTTCCCTCCCATTCACATTCTTCTTCCTTTCTTCTTCACATTATGAAGGATGTAGCAGTGAACAATACACAGCCCTACGACTGTGTTCAGAAGGTCCAAAGCCCAGCAATGCCAACAGAACAATCCCCATTCCTCACAGAGAAAGCCATCACTGTTTGTAAGGCAGGCCTTCTAAAAATTAAGCTCATTTTATAAATTCTTCATTTTAAAGCCACACCCTCCAAAGACAACCTTATTTTCTTAAATTCATTTCATTCTTTGTAGAAACAGAAGAATTATTGAATTTTTCAGCTGGGAGTATTTCTTAAATCTAATTGACTTTTCTCGCCACTCATGCTGTTGATTACTGACAGCGGGTCTTGTGAAAATTGAGTCATTCATTTTTGATGCCTACCATTCAGGAAACTTTTAAAACAAGTGGGCATGAGTGTGAGAAAGGCCTGTGACTCTTGTTACAGGCTGTAAACACCAGTGATGGGCACTAACAATTTCCAGCGAATTAACGAGCTTAAACCTCACCTATGATAAATCATAATCATACACCCAGCTAGCTTTCTTGATAATTATTAATCTATATATTGTGCTTGTCTGTGTACTTTGCTTTAGTGTTTAGATTTTTAAGATGCCAACATTTTTTTAAGTTGCTCTTCAATAAGGCAATGTGGTACAAGCCTCTATGTATAAGATTAGACATAACTAAATAAAATTCAATTTGGAAATTTTTTTCCAATCTGCATCCAAAGCAAGAAAAAAGTAACGAAGAAGTCACAATGCCTATCAATTGCCTTGGCTTGTTTTATAAGCCAATCGGAGGAAGCCAGTATTTTTTATTTAATCTAATTGCTTAGTGGCATAAGATAGCAGAATATATATAATGTACTCGCTTTGTGGCTACTCTGTGAAAATTTAACAACTGAAAACATCCAGATTTTATAATTACCTTTCATATTATAAGAAGTAAAATTTGTTTTGTATAACAGGCACTGGATAAAAAAGTTATTATTATGAGATTATGTTTATAATTGGGAAAATAGACATAGTTGTGGAGAGTGTTTAAGAACATGTGTTATAAGAGCTAGCATACCAGCCTCTGACATTACTTGCTATACGATTGTGGCGAATTAGTTAACTTTTCTAACCCTCAGTCTGGAAAGGGGTATAATAACAACGATTTTAGGTTGGAAGGTTATATAAGACACTACATGTAGCACACCTGCTATGTGAGAAGCAGTGAAATTAGCATTCAATATATTAATAACTACTTGGATGATTTTGGCTATAAAAGAAGAGAACATCCTGACTCAAACTGATTTACACAATGAAGACTTTTATTATCTCACATAATAAGAGGTACACAAGTTGGGCAGGCTCCAGGGTTGTGTGTCTGACCATTACTTTGCTGTCTCTGTGGTTCCTGGCTCTTCTTTCTCTATGTTCGTTCAATCCTGAGGTGCAAGAAAACCGAGAAATTTTCAACAGTTTATTTTTCTCATATCTCATGGACAAGAATTGGGTTGTATGCAGGTTAATATAGTGCTAAAAGCATGAAAACTGGAATAAGATGACTTGAGTTTGAATTCCAGCATTGTGCATCAGAACTATTTAACTTTGGGCTTTGCTTTATTTCTCTGTGCTTCAAATTCCTTATCTATAAATGGAGGTCATAATATTGCATTCCACATTGGATTGTTGTGATGATTACATGGGTTAATACAAATCATGTGCTTAGAACAGTAGCTGGCACATAGAAAATGTTTAACAAGCATTTGATTTTTACATTCTATACCAATTGCTGAGAAGGGGAATAGGATTACTATTATTGGTTTGGATTAATAAGACTATATTAGCTAGAGATGAGATCACATTTCATTGAATCATGCAGGAATATAGAAACCTCACAACAAAATTGAGTTATATTAAATAGAAAACCAAGTCTGATCACTACACTCAAAGTATTATCACTCTTACTACTGCTCCTATTATCTTAATACCATCATCATGTTACCTCCACAAATAACAATCAAATGACAGAACAACTGTAGGTGGCCCTACCTGATTTTTTTAAATCTGATAATCTGAACCATGAACATATTTTTGCCAGCAAGTATTTGGGCAAATAAAAGCACAACTTCTTATCACCCATAATATCAATAAAATAGGATTTTATTTTGGCCTTGAGTCATCTCTAAATCCAAAGAATCCAGAATCTCTGGGCCCTTCTGTCCTCTGAGAAGCCATCATCCATGGGACCCTAGTAAGGTGAAGTTTTGACAAAAGGAAACTATAAGAGATTGGAGTATAAGGAGCAGGTGGAGAAGAGAGGATCAACTTTTAGACAGGAGCAAAAGAGACCATTTATTTATCTCTATCTCTTTGGAGTTCAAACAGTGACCAGTTCATTGTGGTTCCTCAAAAAATGACTGATCGATAAAAGGAAGACTGAATAGGCATGCATGGATCCTTCATGGGGTGAGCATCCATTCACTCAAAAACTTTTTATTTACATACAATAAAATTACTTATTTTAGTGCACAATTTTATTGGTTTTGATGAATGCACAGTCATGTAACCACCAACACTATAAAAACAGAATAGTTTTATTGACCTTCTTCCAAAAGGTTAAATAAATAAATAAATTTATATATTTAATAAATATCAATTGAGCTTCTAGATCATGTCAGGTACTGAGTAAGTGTCTATGTACAGATTAATGATTAAAAAAATGACTGCTGGCCATGCGCCAATTACAGATAATAGTTTATATGTAGTTTATATGTTCACAACCGTCTATAATCTGACAGCAAAAAGGGTTAAAATTTTACCAGAGAATTGGTAAGAAGTAAAACTGGATCAATTTCATTATTTTAAGGCTTTCCTTTTTTTTTTTTTTACTTGAAAGCTGTTAAGTTCTTTTACCGTAATTGTCAGTGTCTCTTACTTCTTCTGGGGTTGAGAATATCTATAGACGCTCAATATAAATATCTGGAATTTGTTACTGGGGCTTCCCCAACAACTAATATTTTTTGCTTTAGCTTGTGATAGAGCATAAAAAATGCAGTAGGGACAAAGGCAACTTCAAACCTAGATTTAAGAGCATTTGAAAACTCCCAAGAAAGATGGTAGCAATGTTGTTGAGAGGATAAGGGATAGAAATATAAGCACCTAGTTTCTCTCAATTCTTCTCTCAAGAAGGACTGCTTTCAGAATCATGTTGTTGAGAGGATGTGGGATAGAAATATAAGCACCTAATTTCTCTCAATTCTTCTCTCAAGAAGGACTGCTTTCAGAATCATTAGTGTAATGGATGTTTAGTGTCATGATTCAAGTTTTGCTTGATAACCTAAAGGTAAGGGTTGGTTCACTTATATTGGCATTGTTGAGTGAAGTGTTTCTTTCCCCTCTTCATGACAGGAAACATAACAGTTTCCACATCGACAATGGCTACTGGGAAAGAGGATGGGAAATGATAGAATGAGAGAAAAAAAAGAGTCCCACCTTCTCAAATAAAACACAGAGCTGAGTAAATTGTAAATAGTGCTATCCACTAAATTCTCAAAAATCTTAAGATCGACTTATTTCAACATACATGAATGTTATGATAACTAAAAGAACAAGGTTAGTGTTCTTCCTATGGTCAAAGTCCTTTATGGTTATGGGTAACTTGCACATCCCTGCAATCTTAACACAAAAATGGAGCTGAGTACAGAACTGTCATTCAATAAATGTTGGATGAATAAGTGACAAAAAAGGAGGCAGGTTAGCTGTCCTGGATGCAAGCATGGGCCTCTTGTAACAAAGCAGACCTCTATTTGGGTAAATCCCACTACATTTGTTTTAATTGCTTCATCTAAATGTTGGTGCAACAGAATATGATATAGACCATGGCCTTTTCAGTTTGCCAATTAAATGGCTGAACACTGACCAACTTGGGGATAACAAAGATCCATTAGAAAAACACTAATAGTAACTCTAGAATTTATAATCCAGTGGCAAATGCCCACTAATAATTCAGGAGTTAAAAAATGTGTAAATCATTTTCTGTCACCTTCTGTTACCACTTTCTTTATAGTAGGGATAGGACCATTAAAAATGGAAAATATATGTGTGCAAACCTATACACATACTAGGTTTCTATTATGTGTATAATACTGCTTTGGCATTAAATATTTTGAAACCCCAGAAATTTGAATCAGTGGAATATAGAAGAATTACAAAGGCAAGTGCTTTAATTGAAGATGAGCGAGAGCATATTTAACATTTTATGTCCTGCCATAATAGAAGAAATAGAAGAAGAGGGGAAAACATTTTTTTTTTTTTTTTTAACAATTGGGAAAGCAATCTCCAGTTTCTCTTGCCTTCTTCCTCTTCTTCCATCTCTCCTTGTTCCGAAGATGCATTTCACACAGTTACCATTGTTATTGGACAATCTATTTCCTATCCCTTTTGAAAAAGTATCCAGCACTTTGATTAAACAGCTTTTGGTCCTCACATTCCTATACTTTTCAACTCTGACAGTTTAATTTCCAGACTCAGAACTTTTCCAAATCAGAAAATGCCAGATTTGTGCATTGTCACAGGTAAAAATCAAAGCAGCCTCATTTATTTCCAAAGGCTGTTTAGCTGCCTTTGGACATTTTTAATATTATGACCCAAAAGATTATTTCTATAGCTTATAGCTGCAGTATGAGCTGCCACTGCAATTAGTTCTTATAAACTTCCCAAGACAACAATAACAACCAACACTGTTATGACTATTGATAATGACACCTTGCTTTTTTATGGTGCCTTTTATGTGAGCTGATCCCAAAATATTCTGCAAGCCATATTCTTGGGTATCACTTCACCCATCTTTGGGAAGCAGCCGCCATAGGGTAATAAGTAATAGCTGTTTAACACAGCACTGGCCTACCAAACACCACATTAAGACTATTATTCTCTCTTGAAATCTCGAAACAGATATTATAAAAATAGCAATCATAATAGCTATGTCTTTTATTGTGCTCATTCTTTTGGCCTACTCATGGACCAGAGGCATTTTTCAGTAAAGAAAACTGATAACTTCGCTAAAAAGCACCCAAAGAATTAGCCTATAAAACTACTGCTCATCAAATCTAGCCATATTTTATATTTGTCCCTTCTCCTTCACTTCAACCAGAAGACTAAGCAACTTATTACCTCATAGGGTGATTTTTGTGACCGTCTTTCAGCTGACTTTCTTATCGCTGTGCTCTTCCTCTCTACATAGCTAAGTCCATCTCACAAAACAATACTCACTCAATCCAAATCATGGACAATGACTCTCTGCCGTCTACCACATCATATACAAACTCCATCAATTTCCCTTCAAAATCACCCACCATTTAGCCTATCCACCACTCTCTTTTCCATCCTTGTCTTTGAACCTGGCTATATGTGTGACCCTTTGCTTCAGTTCATTTCCTATCGCCTGTCCTTATTCTTTTGTGTCTCACTTTTGTGCACTGGCTTATGCCGACTTCTCCACTATCCACCTTCTCAAATGTCTCCTCCATCAATATGAGGACAAGTCTAAACTGTAAGAATTCTTCTTTAATAAATATATTCACCACTGGAATTGTTCTTTAACTTACATGAAGAGCCTTTACTCACAGTATATAACACTCATCCTGAGACAGCTAGGTTTATTGTTCTTTAGTTATTTTTTTAGGTTAAACTATTCAAAATATTTTTTTAGACTATTCTCTGCAAGGCCAAGGGTTTGCTTGCTTTCTTCTTTTTCTTTCTTTGGGAAATAAACTTTTTCATTTTTAAAAATTCTTAAATTGACATATAATAGTTGTACATATTTATGTTACATATAATGTATAGTGATCAGATCAATGTAATTAGCAAGTCCATTATCTCAAATATTTATTATTTCTTTGTGTTGGGAACAGTCAATATCCTCCTTCCAGCTATTTGAAACAATGGAATATATTATTGTTAACTATAGTCGTCCTACAATGGTATAGAACACTATAACTTATTTGTCCTATCTAGTTGTATCCTGCTTTGATTTAACCTAAACATCCAGAGCAGTGCTGGGAAGCCAGGAAGTATAAATATCAATAAACATTGATATCAATCAATAAACATTGATTCAATGTAGGAGAGGTGTACACCCAAGGAAAGTGACGAGGAAGCAGATCTATGGAAGCACATACCCATACCCACATTAAATCATACATATTTATATCTTATAATCTTTCCCTTTTTTTTCTTAAAAAAAGAGACTGGGTCAAAGTGAGTGTCATATGGGTATAAGTAGATATATTTGCAGGATGATTTGTGAAAAAGACATTTCTATGCTAAGAAGCAGAGCCAAAGTTTCTGGTACTTTCAGTACAATGCAGAGAACACTGCTAATGGTTATAGTAAATCCAATGAAAACTCACACTGAAGGATATGAAAGCCTAACACCCAAAGGCAAACTTATTTTTCTGTTTATAAAATTGCATCCTTGTGCAATAACACAGAATCGTAAAAATTAAGAAGTAGAGGAGCTTTGGAGGTCACCCAATTTAACACTTTACTTGATATATACAGTCCTGACACAATATCCCTGGTAAGAATAGTCTTCTACCTTGACAGAGCTTGGCATGAGGCTCAAAAATACCTGCAATAGTTCAGTCATTATCCTCACTCATAGAGCCAGAAATGCAGAAATATAACTGGCAATTTCAGACACTTTATGGAGTACTCTATATGTGTAAAGAATTGCACCAGAAGCAGTAGAAAATGGAGGATTTCATGAATTTATAAAAAATAACCTCTGCTATCAAAAGAGGTAGGGAGGTATTAGCTTGCAAGAAAAACAGGGAAAAATAAAAGGGAAATTTTAAGTACAGTACTAGTACAGAAGTAACAATTCCATATTTAAAACTGGAACGCAAAGGACCATTGCCAAAGATTATTGCAAATGGAAGAGCAATTAGCACCATTCCATCATGTTGCCCTGCCTCAACCGCTGCCATGATCTTACTTGTCAAAGTAGTGAAAGGATGAAGCAACCAACTAAAGAAGCCAATAACTAAACAATCAACCAGGCAACCAAAGGTTCTTTGTTAGTGTCAGGAATGATGGGTATGAAAACACAAGCTCCATTAGATAATAAGGTACATAATGATGGGAACCATACCAAATTTTTGTTTGTTTGTTTAAACTAGTTGTTATAACTGGCATCATATCTAATATCTGGCACATGGAGAGACTCAGTAGATACTTACAGGAAAAAATAAATCCTGGGTCATTTTTTGAGGGGAAGTGGTGTGATTATCATATCAATAGGAACAGAAACCAGTAACATCTGGTCTACATAAGTGACTTTCAAATGGCATGAGCATTAAATAAAATGAGAAATAGGTGTTAAAAAGCTTCCAATAATCGAAGCGTTCTTTAAGGTTAGTATTAGGTTTCTATATCTTTCTATTTATCTTCTAACATAGTTAATTTCACTTTTTTTTTGTTAAGGTTTGAAAATTGTGGTGTTGTGTTTTTTCCAAAGTAAATCTTACTTGGAACCCAAGTTACATAATTAGATAAAAGCAAAGTTGGCAAAAGTAGTAGCTTTTCTTATAAGAAACATCTTGAGAGGTTTCTAATGAATGCTAGAAGTCCTTGGAATACAGTTTAAAAACCACTGCCCTGAGATTCAGTAAGTTCAGTAAGCATTACATACCTAAGGTGCAGTGCTTGTGTGCTTCTGTTAGGGCTTTATATAACACTGATTATAGGAAGGAACAATAATTTCCAAGGCTGACATCTCCGAATTGTAGTATGTCTCAGAGATTTAAGATAAGGAATACTTGGATCCTACATTTTATAAGTGACACAGGAAACTAGTCAAAATCAAACAAGAGACATCTTGCTGTGGTGGAAGTTAATAGGAATCTGTGTAATACAGAGCACATGAATACTCTACATAAGAAATCTCCCACAAGGCAAGCAGGATATAGGCTTCTTGAGATTCAATAAATGCAAAATAGGTTGGTAAGTTTTCACAATGTAGCCACAGATGTGATATATGCATTTTACAATGTGAAATGCCACATGTGAATAAACCAAAAGAGTGAAAACTTAAAAACTAAACTAAACTAACAAAATAATACAATAAAAATAATTCTTTTAAAATTATCCAAGGATGAGAAGTATAATCAACCTTGTGGAAAGTTTTAAAAATTAGTTTCATGAGAAAAAAAGTGAGGGGAGCTGGTATTTTTATCAGGTTTCTCTTGTGGCCTAGATGAGATTGCCGTCAAACTCAGGAAAAGTAGTCACCCCTTCATTTAGCATTTATTGAGCACCTACTATAGGGAATCACATCCTAGTTATTATGGGGATGAAGCAGTTAAAAAAATGTCCCTGACTTGTAAAAGCTCACAGTCTAAATGGAGAGAATTATGCTTCTATAAAACAGCTGCTAGGATATATGGCAGATTGTGCTAAATTCTATCAGAGATACTGGAGTTAAATCAATGGGCAGTCTTGAAAATTGAAAAGAGGAGCTTAGAGCTTAAATGATGAAATGAGAAAACACTGAAAGCAGGGTTAGTAGGTAATAATACCTGTCTTTGAGGGCTATTGCTCTGATAGTCTTGTGTACGTGTGTGTGTGTGTGTGTGTGTGTACATGTGTGCTTGCACATGAATACATATGCATGCAAAAGGGAAGAGACTTAATTTTTATTTATTTTGACAGGGTTTCGCTCTGTCACCCAGGCTGGAGTGTAATGGCACAATCTCAGCTTACTGCAACCTCTGCTTCCCAGTTTCAAGTGATTCTCCTGCCTCAGCCTCCCGAGAACCCGGGACTACAGGCACACGCCACCATGCTCGGCTAATTTTTTATATTTTTAGTAGAGATGGGGTTTTACCACGTTGGCCAGGCTGGTCTCGAACTCCTGACCTCAAGTGATCTGCCCACCTCATCCTCTCAAAGTGCTGGGATTACAGGCGTGAGCCACCACGCCCGGCCAAAAGAGATGAGATTTAAAGCAAGTACATCAGTTAGGAGGCAATGATAAATCTAAGCCTTAGTACCTAAACCAGCAACATACAGAGAGAGTAGAAGGCACAGTATGAAATAGAGGAAATATACTATGAATGCTAAGAAGGACTAGGATGGTTTAAGATATGTAGGTAACAGATAATCTGCACCTCTTTAAAAAAAGGCTACCAAACAAAGAAACAGATTCTTGTCACTTGGGAGCCCAAGATAAACCAAATCTATTTCTCATCTGGCTCTCTATCCCACCCTTCAAAACAGATAATAAAAATAAATAAATTTTAAAATTAAATAAAAGGAATTCAGCAGTCATTTGAGACAAAACTGGAAGTTCTATCTTGATAAAACTCCCTACCTGAAGTTCCTTTAGTGCTATATGATCTCACTGTCTTTTCTTTCCTCTTTCCTGCTCCTGTAGCAGTCTCAGTCTTTGGGATTTTATCAAATTGGGTTTTAATCACTTTACATTTCATGTGAAGATATTGTATCCCACTGCCTCTGCAATGGTCTCAGCTACCCAACTTTTACTACCTAAAAAAAAAAAATGCCTCTTAACAGCAGTGGCCTCCTCCTCCTTCCTGCAGGATAATCCCTATGATTGTGATGCAGTTTAAATTTCTCAAGAATATAATCAAACAGGGTGAAAACAAGGACTTACACACTAAGGCTTCTTTCTGTCTGCTTATGCTGCTTCCTGCTGTACTTCAGTCCCCACAAAACCCAAAAACCTTTGTAGACATCTGGAAACAGTTTCATCTGTGGTCACTTCCTCAAATAATTTCCCTGCTTAGAAAATAAACACACTAGTAAGATCACAGGACCACATAATTTCTGTACTCAAGCACTCCCCATTGGAGAATACCATCTATGCTTGATGGTTGCACATCAGAGGATGAATTTGGGTAGAGGGAAGTGGTTAGAGAGGGAATAATTGATTAGGTGAGTGTATCAGTCCCTTCTCATACTGCTATAAACAAATACACGAAACTGGGTAATTTATAAAGAGAAGAGGTTTACTTGGCTCACAGTTCTACAGACTGTACAGGAGCATAGCTGGGGAGGCCTCAGGAAACTTTCAATCATGCTGAAAGGGGAAGCAGGCATGTCTTACATGGCCGGAGCAGGAGGAAGAGAGTGAAGGGGGAGGTGATACACACCTTTAAACAACCAGATCTCATGAGAGCTCATTCACTGTCATGAGAACAGCAAGGGGAAAATCTGGCCCCATGATTGAATCAGCTCCCACCAGGCCCCTCTTCCAACACTGAGGATTACATTTTGACATGAAATTTGGGCAAGGATAAAAATCCAAACCATATCAGTGAGTATGTTAACAGTCCCCAAGAATATTAATGTCAGAAAATGTATCTAATTAATTGCTGCTAGAAAGAAATACTTTTGACCTCCTAGTCTTTTTAGTAGTTTTTGTTGTTGTTGTTAAATGGAATGTTTGTGCTTGGCCAAAGAAGTAGTATTTGTTCTAAGTACTTATAACATATTTATAATAGCATTATGACAAACAGCTTGGACTCAGATCTGGAGATGTTTGCTCATTTTCGTTCAATCATTTTTTCAAATTACAAATGTTTTTGAGATTATACTCATATACTTAGTCTCCAGAATGGCAGAGGTAATATGTACAATGAATATATGTCAGGTGCTATGCTTTGTCTTGGGGGTATATCCGTGCATTACATGAATACAGTCTCTGCTCTCATGGAACTTAGAGTTCAACTGAGGCAATGGACATTATTCAAATAACTGCTCAAATGAACATATAATTATAACTATAAAGGAAAGACACACAAAATACAAGATGCAATGAGAGTTCATTACCTGAATGTGGAGTTAGGAAGATTTGGATTTTTTTATCCCAGATTTTTTTTTTTTTATCATTTTTCTGTTAAAAGCTAGAGCATTATAAATGATATTAAACTAGTTAAATACCTGTTACGGTGAGGAAAAGAGCTGTTCCATAGGGAAGATTTCTGGGAGAGTGAAGAACATAGGTGGTGTGATTTGAAACGACTATTGGCTAATAGAAAAAGGTCACACAATTCTTCTTATGATGTAATAAATTGCTCTTTTTCAAGGTTGAGGAAGTAGAGGAATAAGAGAAAATGTGAAATATGCCTGTATTTGATGACCAATAGTTTTATAGGCTAATTATTTTGTTACATACAAAAGTTATGCTTTCTTTACTGAATTACATCTCTAGTTTATAAGTAGGGCAAAGCAACCAGCATAATACAAAATATAGCCATTATGATGGCTATTACTACAAAATTTTTCTAAAGTTTTGAGGAGATAATAATAACCTCAATGTAATGTTTTGCAGGCCGGTGCTGTGTTAAACAGCT
Source organism: Homo sapiens (assembly GCF_000001405.40). Lineage (NCBI taxonomy): Eukaryota > Metazoa > Chordata > Mammalia > Primates > Hominidae > Homo > Homo sapiens. Next base: position 116,180,858 of record NC_000003.12, read on the forward strand.
GTCACTTTTTACCACAAAGATGGTTGTATCCTTAACATGGGTTAGGTGATTCCATGAATATGATTTGTAGAATATTGAGAGAGCTGCTGAAATAACAGCAGCATATGAGTGCTGCTGAAAGTTGGCCAAGAACAGTCCAAGATAATTTTCATAGTGTTTTGTACTCCAAGTGACTCTTTTAACCATTAGTTTTGCCCTGTATGTAGGAATTGTGCTTGGCCAAAGAAGTAGTATTTGTTTTAAGTACATATAACATCCTTATAATAGCATTATAACAAACATCTTGGAGTCAGATCTGGAGATGTTTGCTCATTTGGTCAATCATTTTTTCAAATGACAAATTTGAAAAATTCATACTTCATCCAGGTATAACTTAGTTGTAAAAATCACAACACTGCCAAACAATTCAAACACCTTTAGTTGAGTCATTATGTTTAAGCTTCTTTGATCCTTCCTTCTCTAGAGTTACACTAACATAGTAACAAAGGGCAGATTTACAGTCCAAACTGAAAAGTCATAATTCAACACATAATTCCTCAGTTGTCAGCCCCAAGTACAAGATTGATGATGAAGTTTTGAACTGACACAATTATTTTAAAAATACTTACTTCCAAATCTACACAGGAAGTTTATGTCTATAATGACTTAGGACATCCAAAATGAACCTATTTCCTAAGGAGGCACATCATTCACAGTATCAGAAACCCTTGCAAGTGTTGCATAATGATGACATCAATATAACTTATGCAAAGTAAAAGCGTTAAAACATTCCTAAATACTTAGCCTTTATATGTCCCCTTATTTTCACAAAGCACTTTCAGACAAATTATTGTTATTATTCATCACAATATCCTAAGATAGACAGCCATTATCATTCAGATACCACACTCCCATCTTCATTGCCACTGTGACCCAAGACTGATTTTCCAATCAGATGTCTACGCATCTGATTTCCTTACAATGAGATTTAAGAATTTAGATTTACAGATCCCATCACAGACTTGTTGAATGAAAATCTCTTTCGTGGGAATCAAGAATCTATATTTTGATAAAGATCACCCAGGTAACTGTGTTTCAGTCTATCCAATGATTGCATTTAGGAACCATTATTGTAGAACAGTCATGGAAGAAAACTTAAAGACAAAAAGACACAAGTTTTATTTAAAATGCATAGAACATGTTGTGTTTCAGTGTCAATGGGAATTGCTAGCCTGATCTGTGCAGATAGTCTCCAAATGTGTTATGTTTGAAAAGTTCTTTTAAATTAAAAGGACTAGAAATCATTCTCCCATGGAAATAACTTGGTAGGTACTGGTAGATTCCAAGAGCATTCATGACACCTCTGTAGCAAATGATGCAGCCAAATAATAATGCTATGAAGAACTATTTCAGTTATTCCTAAGGTTCTTTTCAGAAAATACATTTTCTACAGTAAAATAGATACCATATTTTAGAAATTAGTTACCTCATTTATTTCTTTATAAAAACATTGGATTTTTAAATTAAATATATATTGAACTTATATATATATAGAAATATATATACAAGATGGTGAACAAAATAGAAATAGTCTAGCACTCATGAAACTTAGAGCCTAATCTAGAAGTCTGCCAATTAAAACAAGCAATTAGAGCATCATGAGTGCTATGACAAGATGCTATGGAGATGCCCAAAGATGGGACTCAATTTTTTCAGGGTAGGTGTTTACATGTGGGTGAAGAAGGGGTAGATGAAAGGTTAAAGAAGATAAGAAGACTGTCTAGAGAAAATCTTTCCTAATATTTCTAAACAGAATGGAGAAAAGGCAATAAAGAATCACCTGTTTTTTTGATATTGTTGTTGCTTGCTTGTTTTTTTGGTAGAGATGTCTGATTCCCATAACAGACCTACAGAATCTGAATTTTAGGAGAGAGTTGATCCTGGTAATGTATATTTTTGTACATTCTCATAATAGATATATTTCTTGAGTTTTTATTTTATAGTAACCTTTGTGCTATATATTGGTAATACACAGATAAAAGTCCAAATTTTGCCATCACAATGACTATTGTAGATTTGCTGAGAGATATCTGTAAACAAAGAACATGGGGTGGAGTTGAAGCTTAGGTCTAATTGCTGGTCTCTGTTTACACCTGCATAACATGTAATAAATATTCCTTTGATCAGTATCTCCTTTGAGTTTTCAAATTTGGCCTTATTGATAGATTTTGACTTTAGGCATATGCAGGCTATTAGTTTTGATACACATTGAAGCAGAGAATTATCCATATGTGACCTCTAGAGACAGAATGATTGAAGTGATGGGGATAAAACTAAACTGATAGATGATCTCCTTTTTAAGGAAACACCCTAGATTTAAAACTGAGGAAACAAGACATGGTTGCATCCCACACCTCCAGCATGGCTATGCACACTTTTGTAAGTACCAGAGAAATTCAATTAAATTCATCATGATTGCATGCTTATTGCATGGAAGGCACAGCATAAAGTGTTGAAAGATATGTACAAGTAAGACAATGACCTTGAAAAGGTTTTTAACTTGTGGGAATAGAGGATAGTGTATCAGGTAAGAAATAAACACATACACAGGTATTAGGGCAGTGTTATGGGTTAGTTAGAGCATATGGGCCCTTGAAGTAGATAGAAATGGGTATGTACATCAGTCTCAACTTTTGGGTTGGGTTATTTTGAACAAGTTACTTTACATTTTAGAGCATAAGTTTCCTTATTTCTAAAATGATGATAATGGTAGTATTTACCTAATAAGATAGAGTTTCTGGCATACTGTTATTCAAATAAATGACAGTTGCCCATTTAGTATTAATATAGGGGTCATCTTTATATTTTAGTGAATAGTCACCATTTCTGATTAGAACACCTATAAAGGTTTCTAAGAGGCAAAGATTACATTTAAAAGCATCCCTGATAATAAAAATAGCAAGAAGAAAAATAAAGTGATATCAAAATTAGGACACATTTTGAGGAAGAACCAGTAGGACACATCAGAGTAGAGAGAAAAATAGGCAAATGAGCAGAGGAAAAGTTGTAGATACTGGGTTGATTGATTCCTAATGATGGAGGACATTAAATATCATGTGAATGGATACAGGAGCAATTCTATAAGCAATAAGGCTTTTGAACAGGAGGAAAAAACATCATCATATGTGCTGTACGATGTCAACTTTAGTACAGATACGAAAGTTGAACTCGAGAGAACAGAAAGTAGAATCTGGGAGACTCATTAAAAGACCAGGTCACATGAAGGATTAGAAGGCTCTGAAATCATTTTTATCATCATCATATCTTCATCATCAGCTTCCTTATCATCATCGTTATAGCTAAATGTATCAAACTTTGCATGTATCAACTAATTTAACTTTACCACAACCCAATGATGGATTTTACTACCATTATTTCCAGTTTACAGATGAGAAAAGAGAGGCACACAGAGGTTAAGTAACTTGATAGCTCTTACTAAGTGGAAAGACAAGGGTATAAATCCTGGCAGTTGACTCTACTATCTTTATTCTTAGTCATTATATTACACTGAATCTTGGAGGTAAGTACAGAAGTTCACTGTCATTTCAAGACGGAATCTATATGACCAGGTAACTGAGTGAGGTATAGAAATGAGGAAGAATAAGGGAGTCAAAAATAACTCAGACATTTTGACCTGGGGTAACTGGGATTTGGGGGTATCTTTAAAAATATAAAATTTGGTGCAATAGAGTTTAATTTTTAGCAGGAGGGTTTGAAGATTGTGTTGCAGGTACCTGCAGGCACACTTGAGCTTCAGATACGATTGCTTGCTAACAGACTCAGTTAACTGATTGAAAGACATTTTTAGTATGATATATATTTTTAGTGCCTTTTATGGGATCCTGCTATATTTAGGGGCCTTCTAGAATTCTGCTTGCTTGGTGCTGAATCTTGCTGGTTGATTTTTCCTAGTTCCTTTTCTTTGTTTTTCTCTTTCTCAAAGATTTTATTTTTCTCTTTCCAACAACAGATTCTTTGACTTCACTGGATATTCACAGTTTTGTTTTCCTTTCACCATTCCATGATCTGTTTGATTCTCAGAATACATATATATTGAATTTCTAATGAAGTCTTCTAAATGTTTCCAGATTTCTTGTGGTTTAACTGCAGATTTTTTCTTTCTTTCTTTCTTTCTTTTTTTTTTTTTTTCAGTTCTCACATTTTGGCACAGTTTCCTTTCCTGGAGATTAATAGCTGGGTGATAGATTTCTTCATTTTTCCCTTCTCCCTCCAGAATTTTGTGATTTTATTTTTTACACATTTACACATACCTCCAGCATCAGTTTTTGTTTAAATATAAGGATCATCTCCAGACATATTCTTTTCATTTGAGTTCTAAACACCTACTGTAGAATGTAGTTAGTTACTTACCTCATCTGAAAATCTTATCATGTCTTTTTTCCCCAATGTGGGTATTCATACACTTCATATGTGGCCAGCTCTTAACCCTGAATATTGATACTTGCTCTTCTTTTACAGATGCTCTGGGTTGCTTCATATTTTAAGATCAGGCTCACTGTTTTGAAGAGACAGGTTAGAGTGTATCCCTATGACCTCATTTTATTATTTGTATTCTTCCACACACACAGGGATTCTATCATACTGGGTTTTCTTTATACTATAAGGTTTTTACTCAGTTTTCATTTATACTCTCCTTCATGTACAAGATGTCCCTTATGTATCTTCCTCATAGATTTTGCAGGCTACACTCATTATACTCTATTGGTTACCTTTTCTCCTTCAAGCCACCTAGTATTAAATACAGTTATCTTAACATATTCAACAGATGTTGAATATAGTGCAGTGCTTTGAAACATTCTAATTGTCATTCTTCAACAGTAAATTAATGTTCAGGCTTTTTAAATTCACTGTAGTGGCATGAAAGATTTCCAGGAGAAAATTATTTATCTAGCTGTTTCCTGCTCCACACCCAGTGCTATTACTTACTGCTGAAAATGGAGGAGTTGGGGTAAAAGGCGGGAAGGAGGAAAAAGAAGCAAAAAAAAAAAAAAAGACCTCTTTAGTTTCTCCTTTAAAGAAAAGTAATGATTTTCTCCTGGAAGGAAATCAAAGGCTGCATGAAATGTCTACCCCTTTAAAAAAATGTAAGCTGATTTTTTTAATGCTAGGTACTTTTATCTTTGTAGCTTAAAGGCAAAGAATGAATGAAATGTGGAAAATGAAGGACATGTGACAGCATCAAAGAAGTGAAGCAAAGCTGGAGATTGTGTGTCTGGCTATGTCAGGCCAGGGTGGCCCTTTTTAGGCAGACCATTAAGGCAATCTGGCTGCCAGATGAAGTCTTCATGAAAGGGCAGAAAAGATGTATAAAGTCTTTTTGATGTTTTAAAGGAAACTCTTCTTTATACCTACCCCTCCCTCTTTTCCTCCATCATCTTGTCCCGACCAATGCCATCTCCTCTTGCAAGGCAAACCACAACCATCTGTAGAAGTGTTTTATGTTTTAGAGCATTTGGATCTTGGCTTGATCTCTATCTTGAGTGATACAGGGTACATTTTTAGTTTCTGCTGGGAGAAAATGGTGAATTCCTGTGTAGAATTGGTAGAAGCCTCTAGGACATTTTGAGAGGCAGTGGTTAATCAGAGTAGAATTAATCAAGTTCTGTTTACCTAATCAAGATAAGGATAATTTCTTGAATAGAATTAATTACATCACACTGGCACCATTAGGACATCCTGACAAATTCCCTCATGTTATACAGAGAAAACCAAGCTTCAAGGACTCACAATTAATCCAATAAAATTATAAGACTGCAATCCATTTCTCCACACTCTTGCTTCTCACACGATATAATCTTTCTCTTTACTTGCAGAAGACCTAAATTAACATTTCTACTTGTGGCTTCTCTTCCTTGGTATTTTACTTTTACTCCTTCCCTCTGTCCTAGAAAATCATTTGACCAGCAGGGCTTGCATCAACTGGATATTATACTTGAATCAGTATATTCAAGTCTGTGGCTTTGAACATAGCTGGGTCAGCATAGAAGAAAGGCCTTGCTATGCATAAGACTATTTCTAATGGTGGTAGGTTGAAGGAGGGGCAACCAGGTGGTGGGAGGGGTGGTGATGTGTATGTAGTAATGCTCATATTCACTGAGACAATAAAAAACACAACAAAGAATGTATTATGCTCTTATCCTGATGTCTCTGATCTTCATAGTTCTTCTAAATTAAATGTTTTCAACCCCTTTATCCTTCAGCTCTATGTCAGCTTCTTGGCCTATTTTGCACGCTTTTCATATTGCACATGGTGCACAGGTGGTGTAGGTGATGCCACATTAGTTTAGCAGAATATCCTAGTGATGTGTAATGAAAAAGTGGACTGGCTCAAGGGGAAACCAAAGATACCATAAATTTAAGCTCTAACTGCCAATATCCATGTGGGTATCTTTGAGCAAATTACAGATGGTAAACCTAGCCCAGAAAGATGATGAAAAATGAAGATGGTATTAGATTTCCTGAATTTTAAACTGCTTTTCAATACTAGCTATCTCAAAGAACCAGAGAAAAAGAAAAGAAAAAAAATGCAGCCTTTTATTCCTTGTTTGCCTGGTTTCTACTTTCCACTCTTCTTTCTCAATTACAGTGATCTTTCTATTACCTCAAAATGTCAGCAGTGCATTTTTTCAAAGCATCAAGAACCCAGCAAACATGAAAGTTTTATATTCTTCCTATTCCTTTTCCACTTGACAAAAACCTCTTCCTTCATAGATATTACACAGTAAGGTACTGAGTTATGAAACTTCCCTTTGACTCACACAGCATCTTTCTTTTCCCAGCACATAGCTTCTTTACAATACCCATACCAAAGGTATATCACATTCTGATTTATTTTATATAGTTACAGAAGGGATAATCTTCCCTTTGTACACATTTTTTTCACTTTTATTTTATGTTCAGGGGTACATGTGCAGGTTTGTTACATAGGCAAACTTGTGTCATGGGGGTTTGTTGTACAGATTATTTCATCACCCAGGTATTAAGCCTAGTACCCATTAGTTATTTTTCCTGATCCCCTCTCTCCTCCCACCCTCCATCCTCCAATAGGCCCCAGGATGTTTTGTTCCCCTCTGTGTGTCCGTGTGTTTTCATCATTTAGCTCCCATTTATTAGTGAGAACATGCAGTATTTTGTACACGTTTTTCTATGCAAATCATTCCAACACATAAAAACAACAGGCCCTTTCAAAGTTCATTGGTGCTCCTTACTGGTGTCAAATATCATATCTATATGACCTTAAATGCCCTCCCCATCCAGACCACTTGTTAGTGGGAGTTCTTTGCCTCACTTAGTGATCGTGCTATGTATAAGGAAAAGCAGATGTACAAAAGCCATGGCCTCTAAAGGGCCTCCTGTCAGACCCATGCTTTTCCAGGGAGACCCCCCAGGAACAGTTAACTTTGAGATCATATGCAGCTCTATTGATTAAAGGTCTAATTTGATACCCTACAACATATTTATGAATGCCTGGTATCTGCATGTTTCCTGACAGAAGCCCCTTGGGAGCCATTAATCTGTGAAGCCTCAGGGCTTCTTTCTTGGCCTAAAATCCCAGGGACTTTGCTGCTTTTCATTGGCAGCTGCCAAAACTGACTCCATCCTCTTGACTTTCTAGTCTCCCTTTAGCCTGTTTGTGGGGTAAAATGCAGTCTGTTTATTTGCTCTCAAGTTCTTGCTGGCCCTGCTAGATTCACACAAGCTTCTTTTATTGTAACCTAATGATATATTATGAATCACTCCTGGGAAACGGGATAAGAATAACAAAACAAAGTGATGCGTTTATTTGCTCACTTAACATGTATTTCTTGAGCTTCTACTATATTGCGGGAATGGGGGAATTCAAAAGTAATTAAGAAATGATGTCTTTCTCTAAGAGGCTCCCAGTCTAACACAAAGCTCACATATACTCAGCAGAAACTACGATAGAAAGATGAATGAGGAATGGGAAAAGCACAGTGAGATTGACCATTGATTAAAAATCTTCCAGAACTGTTAAAAGTCTTTGCAGTCTTCATCTCATCAGTATTGATCAGTCATGCATTTTATTCATTAATGCAACAATTACTTCTGAGCAACTACTACAAGTCAACTTTATTCTAGGTGCTGGAAACACGATAATAAAGACCAACTAATTCATAAGCTTCTATTCTAGTGAGGGAATAATAAACAGATAATAAACAAGTAAACATATAGTTTCAGTTCATGGTAAGTACTATGAACAAAAAGTGGATAAAGATTAATATATGGTCATTGAAGGCCACTCTGAGGAGGGGACATTTCAGTGGAAGCCTGAATGAAGTAAGGCAGAGAGACCTAAGTGGTGGTCTAGATAAATAATTTTCCTGGTATAAGGAAGTGCAATAGAAATATTTTTGAGAAGAGAGTGGTGTTGGCATTTTTGCAGATCACAAAGAAACCCTGCATAGATACAGCAGAGCCTCTCAACTGGCTGTAGTGGGAATATTTACACCAAGGAAATTGGCAAGTGCTACGAATCAAGGCTTCCTCTGGGTCTGGATGACATTCAGAAAATACTGTGTCTGGGCAATGTCACACATCTACAGAAAAAGCCCATTTATTTCTCAGACCTCGAAAAGCAAAACCACCTCAGTTCTAGGGAAGGCCTTCAACAGAGATGGACAATCCCAGAAACTCAGCCCTGTGAACACATTGCCTGCAAACTTCCAAAGCTGCTTGGATTCAGGGTAGAAGAAACGATTAGAGAAGGTCCTACAATGCATTTTGGTGTAAGTTTTTAAGTGGCCTATATCATTACAAAAGGAGTCATGATCCCCCTTTTTAATAATTGCAGAACCCCAATTTTCCTTTTGTACTTTTTGTCATGGGGTGATATCAGATTCATCACATGTAAATGACAAGTAAAAGAGACATTGGCCTGTACAAGAGTGGGAACACAAATAAGTTGTACAGAAAGATGAAACAATCATTTTGTAGTTTAAAAATACTGAGCAAATTTCCTGTTTTTAACAAGCACGAGAGATTCAAAAACCAGACACCTAGACTTAGTGATTCCACAATGCATATATACATCAAAACATCATGTTGTATATGGTAAATATGTACAATTTTACCTTTCAATGTAAAAAATAAGTTTTTTAAATAACAGAACCAAAAACCAGACACCACTATGAGCCTCAGGTCCAGTAGTAGACACACACACACACACACACACACACACACACACACACACATGCATTAAGAAATCTCCACAGCTAAAATCTTTTTAAGTCTGCTGGATGATCTCCCCACCTCCATTCCAAATTCCTGGATGGTGCACTTGTCACGCAAGAAACTGAAACAATTATATGTGATATGTAATTAAGCATCTATACTTGCAGTGAGTGATAGATTTACCTTCCTTTCCCCCCTTTTTATTAGACGCAGCCCAGAGATAAAACCTTCAAGTTATGAGTAATTATACCCTGCTGAGAAAAGTGATAGAGTGCTACACTCAGAAGGACTTACGAAGCCCTGAAAATGTGGAGTCAACACTTAAGACTTTTTTTTTTTATTATTATTTTCCCCAACACTAACAGTTTCCCAGCTTGTTCCCAGAGGGAGATAAACAAACAGTGTGTATCTGCATTTTAATGGGAATAAACAGGACTGGCCTATTCACTTTTTTACAACACTGGCTTCATATTTCCAAACCAGTGGGATACAGTAAAAAGTGTATGCATCATAGACAGTGGAAAGCTACAAGGAAGGTAATATTTTCTATTATTATATATGTAATTTTGGAATAAATGGGATCATAACATTTTGTTAACAAGCCTTCTTAGCCACCTAGAATCCTCTTTCAGTTGGTGCTAGACAATGGAGAATTACCCTTAGATGCCTTCTGAGGCCTTGGTAAGTCAGATGCCCTCCCATCTTGGGCATCTTTGGTGGAGAAAAACACAAGAACAAAGAACCACTGGTCTTCCTAGAGTTCACGTCTATTCCAGCTTCAACATGTGCTACTCTGAAACCTTATTTAAGGGTGGAACAAAATAGTTGAATTTGTGAGGCTGTGTCAAATTTAGTTTTCTAAGACTCATGGTTTTATGCCAGGCTCAGTGGATACTTAAAACATTGGTTGTCACACTGTAGTTTGTGTAAAAATTAGCTGTATTGCTACTAAAAGTACAAAAAATTAGCCCGGCGTGGTGACTCGTGCCTGTAGTCCCAGCTACTCGGGAGGCTGAGGCAGGAGAATGGCCTGAACCCAGGAGGTGGAGCTTGCAGTGAGCCAAGATTGCGCCACTGCACTTCAGCCTGGGCAATAGTGCAAGACTCTGTCTCAAAACAAACAAACAAACAAACAAAACGAATGCAAATGTCTATCCTCCATACACAGAAACTGTTTTGATTGGCTTGGGGTGAGGGTCAGGAATCTGCATTTTAATAAGAACGCAACATAAGAGATACTGATGAAGTGGTCCAAGGGGCAAACATTGAGACATCACCCTAAGGGATCTACAGGTGGGTTTTAGGAAGCCCGTGAATGCCAGATACTGAATGATATTGTGTGAGTTTTTAGGACTGCACATTTTTGAGGGGATTCCCAAATGACTCTGCAGCCCAGGAAGGTTAAGAACCTTTCAGGGCATGAGACAGTTTAGGGCTGAGGATTCCAGTCAACTTTTGGATCCCAGCCAGCTTCACTGAATCCCAGGACAATTCAGCAGCTTGGTTTAGGAAATGGAAGTAATTTCCTTGGCCCATCTAGTTTCCGGGTTTAGCTCTTCTGTCTTGAATCAGGTTTTTGTGCCATTCCATTTTCTCAACATTCCTGCATGGTATTCCTGCAATTAGCCAATGACTTATTTCAGGAACCTAATGGGGCTTCTAAAGCAAGATTTTCTAAATTATAATAGTTTTTTTTTGATTAGTGAATAATAAATGTTAAAAATGTACAAATCATATCTCTGAATTCTTTTCATCCATATCCAAGCATCAGATTTAACTCTTTCATCACTTAGATAAACATGACTAACTTGAAGTGTGATCTCCAGTAAATTACTTAGTAGCCACAGGCCTTAGCTTCTCCATCTGCATACTAGGAACACAAATATCTGTCTGAATTTCTGAATTACTGAGGGAAAAAAAAGAGATAACAAACATAACCTAACCTAATAATCATTTAAAATATTCTATTACAGCAATGTATTATTCTTGTAACTAAAACATTTGTGTGACTTCTGTGGCTTCATGATTGTTAAATTCATGGGAACAGATGTCATTGTATTGGATATTAATACAACAATTCATGAGCCAAACAAGGGCTTAGACAAGGGCTTTCTGATTGTTCCGATCAGTGAGAGGTAGCTTGAGAAGCACCTCTTGCTGCAGTGATGATGCAGGAGTAAACATAAGAATTGGAAGGAAATGGAACAAGAGCAGATGTATGAGGAAATGCCAGACACCAGTTCTAAATCCTAGAGCTCCATCTACTTCTTATTCTTTAATCACTTGCTTCCCTGCCCAGCCATCCTCACCAATATTGGCATTCCATTACTCTCTCAATTTCTCTGTCTTCTTTAGTAAACCTTTGTCTCTTTCGTTTTTCTTCTCTCTGCCTGAGTCTTTGCCTCTTTCAGTCTCACTCATTTTCCCTGTATCTCCCAATACACTGGTGGGAATGAGATTAGAGAGAATAAGTTGGAAGATGTGAAGGCATATGAAAACATTATTAATAAGTGACACCTGGAAAGATGGAAAATTAAAGAAAAGTATTAGGTGATGAGTCAGCAAAGATAGAAAAATGGTCAAGTTTCTGCCCTACTCCAAATCATTTCTGTTACAACCTTGTCAATGGTTAGTGCTGTGCTACTCCATGTTTCCAGTGGTTTTTCTTTTGAAGCAATTAGGTTATTGGAATAGATGATATCTAAGGACCTTTTCAGCTCTGAAAGCCTGGCTAATGATCAGGGAGCTATTCATGACAAAGACTAAATTTCCACTCTAATTTCCTCTACCTGGTAAATGTAATTGGATTACATTGGTACCAGAGGTGCTTCAACCACCACTTAATTAGACAATTTTATAGTGCTTTGCCAACAACTGCACTGTAATAGAACAACTCCACGGTAGATGAATAGTTTCCTGTACAATTACAAATGAGGATGAGGGCGATGTTATTATTCTTTACTTTTCTAATGCTTTATTATTTATAAAGCACATTCATATACATAAACTTACTATGTCCTCCCTAAAATCATGAGTTAAAGGTTTTACAAATTTACATTTTATAAATGAGACTGCTATGCTTGCAATTATTTGATTTGTTCAAGGTTAAACAGGGATAGTAAGGCGTCTTTTATCATACAAAAAGGTAAATCAATGCCTGATTGTCCAACTTCTCCTCTGGTGTTAGGGAAACTGGAGGACTTGAGCTCATTCAGGCAGGATCTTCTTCAAAGTTCCCATCTATGGAGTTATTTGTCATAATAGACATGACTGACAAGCCTTGGAATCATTAATTCCTGGTAGAGAAGTTCAAAAAAGCATTTGTTTTTGAAAAGCAGGATACCATTTGTCTTGTCATGTAAAGATTTTTCAAAGGTAAATGAAATGCTCCCCATCTGAAAGACTTGGTGAGCCTTGTAAAAACAGCAACAACAACAAAAAAAGTATATTTACAAACAAACAAAAAAAACAACGCTTGCAGTAAGCCAGACATTGTGCTAGACAATGACTGATCTCGTTTTGCAACACATGCTTCATTTTGGTATTGAAACAAGCTCAAATTCATATTAAAAACAGAAGCTGGAGAAGACCAGAAATCCTGGCCACCAAAATGTAGGAAAATACATCTAGTATTTCCCACCCTTCCACCCATACTATGTAACTAAATAAAACATTACAGTGAAATGAAGACTACAATGCCAGGAAAGTTAAACATGAAAACACCAGCTAAAACAACAAAATAATAAGTCCAGTGCTTTTTATGAATTAAACACCACATCATCACCAGCTCTACAGTCATCATCCCTTTGCTGACCCTAGTTCAGTCACACATCCACTTCTTTAGTTGTGCACAGTGTTTGCTAAGTCATGATGAGTTTCAGACAGAAAACGGAAAGCCAGTTGCAGTCAGGGTGCAATTGGAACTGACCATTCTAAAGCTTACCAGTTAACGCAATCCGACTCCTATAGGAGAGAAATCAGGGTTAAAAGCACATCACATTAGGAGGAGGTGGCAAAGGTGAGAGAGGTAAGGGGTGATGGCCATTAGAAGATGAATGCCAGATTTTTCCATGTAAACTAGTATATAGGAAGCTGAAGATGGACAAATGCTCATGGCTCCCATGGGAGACCTCAGATAGAAATGCAGAGAAGGGTCGAGGAGCAATATAGGCAGCGGAAGACACAAACCGAAAAAAGCCATAATCCTTTTCAATTTCTCCCGTGGATCCCAAAGAATCAAACTGCAGTACTGATGTGGGGAATTGTTTTTTGTTTGTTTGTTTGTTTGTTTGTTTGTTTGTTTGAGTCAGAGTCTCGCTCTGTCGCCCAGGCTGGAGTACATTGGCATGATCTCAGCTCACCGCAAGCTCCGCCTCCCGGGTTCACGCCATTCTCCTGCCTCAGCCTCCCGAGTAGCTGGGACTGCAGGAGCCCGCCACCACGCCCAGCTAATTTTTTCGTGTTTTTTAGTAGAGACGGGGTTTCACCGTGTTAGCCAGGATGGTCTCCATCTCTTGACGTCGTGATCCGCCCACCTCGGCCTCCCAAAGTGTTGGGATTACAGGCGTGAGCCTCCGTACCCGGCCGGGGGATTCCTAAATAGCCCACTACGCCTCCTATCCTTCCCAATTCCTGCCTAATGCTCAGCTAAATCATTGATCGAGATTGAGGTTTGGTATGATACAAAGAGGGGCTTATTAAGATGATCAGAGACAATCATAGGTCTTGACATTAAAGTAGATTTGAAAAAACAAAGTAGATTTGGGGAAATCATTAAACTAGATTTGGGAGAATATACACTTCCATGCTGGTCCTTGACCTATTATTCTAAAAGTTATTCTTCATTCTTTCCCTTCTTTTCTGAATCACTGTGCAGCAGACTGGTACAGGCTGTATTTCCCAGGATCCCCTGCCAACTGGGTTCATTCAGAGAGATGTGCTAACAGAAAACTAGAGTATGAGGGCAGGGAGTAGGCACTGTATTGATCTCCCTTTTCCTCTGCCTTGGTCATAGTCTTTGGAGATGGCTATATTTCCTCTAGAGATCAATCCCTTGACTCCAGTAACCCCAATTCCCCTCCTTTGTCTCTCCAGTTGATGCTAGTCACTGGGTTACTCACTGCCCTCTAATTGGCTTTTCAAAATTTCATCACTTCTGTGTTACAAATATTTGAATTGAATGTTCTTTATTTTAAAACTGAGTGATTTCTGACTCCTGTTTCCTGAGTGTGTCTTCACCAATACAACCATCTTTTTTTCAGGCTTTCTATTATTAAAAGCAATTTTAATATTTCTGATTAAATAAATTTTCTCATATCAGTATTAATATACCACAAATATAATTAAACAGCCAATATATACAATTCAACTATCTCACCTAAACAGTTTCTAAATTTCTCCTAAATTGGTATGACAATAAACCAACATCAGTTTGTAATGTACCACAACTAATATTGTCTAAACTATGAACAAGAAGCAAAATAAATTGACAGAAGGAAAGTTGAAATAGCACATACTTAGTCAGTTTTGGTAAAGATGGAAGCCCAAAAGTAAATGAATATATTTTTAAAAAACTGTTCTAGGATAAAAGTCTTTTAGAAAAAAAAATGAAAAAAAAAAAACATTTAAAGGAAAAGTCTCTTCATAAAGCAGTGTTTTGCAAAGATTTTTTCATAGATCGATTATGTTGGAATCACCCAGGTTCTTACTAACAATATTAGATTGTTCCTAGTCCCTACCCTAGATTGACTAAATTAGAATCTTTGGTGTGTTGGATCCAAGAATCTATTTTTAAAATAAGCATACTTAGCGATGTTTATATGTATTAAGTGATGAGATTCATTGCCCTAAAAATGAAAATAGAATACTATTTATTGGTCACTATAAATCAATGAGCTAGTAATTGTTTGATAGTTAGTGCAAAGTCCACGTTTCAGAAATGTAAACACTTTTTTTGCATAGAGACTGAGCCATAAGGGTCAGTGCCCTTCACCTCATCTTCTCATTGATCATCCGAGGACTTTCAGGAATATTCAGCTAAATTTTTATATGCGGAGGTCTTTAGCTAAATTCTGATATAATTTTGACTAAGATTACTAGTAAGTACTCAAGGGGACAGATTTTAATCCTCATTTAGAGTGATGTTAGGCTTCATTTCATTATAGCAACTAGAATAATTCCTGGCTCTAAGTCTTCTGTAAATATTTGATGATAAGATTAATTATTTTATTCATCTCTTTATTCACAGAACCTAATACAGTGTCCAACTATCAATATATATTTTTTGACAACAATTGATGAGAATTCTACTAAACTCACTCATGTCATGCGAATTGACCAGTGGGTAGAAACATTTGAGAATCCTATCTCAAGTAGATCATAACTAGTAATAGTATTGATTTTATTTCTCCCCGATATACTATCTAAGCTATAATGTTCATTATTCAGGGATTTTTATTTGAGCTATTCATTGCCAGGATAAAACTTCAATTTTATATGAAAACTGTAGGGAAAAAGAGGTCAGAGAAATAATTTAGATTAAAAAAAGTAGCAGAAATTTTTTCCTCCTAGAGACCTGCCTTATCACGTGTAGTCAAAATATAAAGCTAGTTCCTGTTATGGGTAAAATTTTAAAGTGCTGAAGTGTATCAGTCTCACTTTGCTCCCCATTATTTCATTCATTGTACTTTCTGGGGCCCTTTCCTTTGGGTTACCCTCCCACCAGGCACTCCTTCATTCAGGATCTCACATCCTTCTTGGGCTCCCACTCCTTTATGCCTGCTTCTGCAGAACAACTCCTGAGAGCATCCATTAACTGGGTTTTTCATTGCTATGTCTCTCATTCGTTATTCTCTTCATCTTGAGCCCAAACTGTCTGCACCTCCCAAAAGGTCCATTAAATGAAAGGGCAGACTAGAAGCCATTCAGTGATTCTCTTCCAAATAACAAGTACTTTGTATCAGCAGTCTCTGATAAAATGGGGGTCCCCTGGTGAGGCCTAAAACAAAAGTATCCCACTCGGACACACACACACACACACACACACACACACACACTCTCTCTCTCTCTCACTCACTTTGTCTAGGTTCTGTCACCCACTCCCTGTTGTAACCTTTCTCTGTCCTCTCTTTCCAGAATAAGTTTAGGAGAGAGACAAGAACTGCATGAGTGCAGACTATAGGTCTGAAATTTATAACTTTGTCCTTGTCACTTCTCCTTCCAAACGTCTCACCTCCAAAACTCAGATGGAGCCAGCTGCTTCAAGATGCAGACAACATCATCTTTTTTTTTAAACTATAGTGCAGGCAATCATGGTTTACAAACTAGTTTGAAGTATACAAACTCACCTTACTCAGCTAGATCGGATAAGTTACAACTCTACAGACTCAGCATATTAAGTTAAAAATTGCTTAAAGCACTGTGCCAACTCTTCAATGTCTTTCTTATTTCACTTTCTAGGCAGGGCAGCAGATTTCTTCTCAGTCATTTTGAATTGCTCTATTTTCTTGTCATTATAATCTTAATTCTTCTATTTCAGTATCAAGCCATCTATTTCAAATTATTCTTAATAATGAGAATCTCTGGTTCTGCGGAAGAACACTGGGAAACTGACAGTCAGGGATCCGTATTTTTATTTTACAGATGTCTTTTCTGGGCATCTACTGAGCACTGGTATGAGATCCGATCCTTGCTTCCAATGATATATACAGTTCAGTAGTGGGCAAACACATTTATGGACAACTTTATTATAATAGGATGTATAGTATTGTTTATATAGATATTGATATATAGATATAAATATATATGACATTTAAGCTGGAACATAAAGGATAAATCCAATTTCACCAGTCAAAGAAAGGCAGGTAGGTTACTGCACAAAGAGAAACACTATGAGAAATGGCATGGAGATACAGATATATCTTATTCAGGAAAGCAAGAGCCATTCGTGGTGAATAATGTGCAAAGTTGGAATAAAAAAATGAGGAAAGATGACGTTCAAAAGATAAGGGCAGAATGATATGCTAAAAATGCATGAACTTTCTTTTGTGAGCATTTCTGTAGGAAATCAGATGGGAAGTTGCTACTGTTCATAGTGAGAAATGGTGAAGACCACAGTTTACAGGGATAAAAAGGGGAAAATAGACTTGATGTTCCTTTGGGAGATAAGAATCTCCAGTGGTCGGTGACTAATGTGTTATGTAGGTTAAGGGAGAAGAATGAGAACCTCAAAATGCCTCCACAGTTTCAAGTGTTAGTGAGTGATGAAAGAGTTTATTATGAACTGAGATTGAGTACTCCAACAAAAAAGATTTCTGGGTGGGAGTGATGCTTAGTTTTGCTATTTAGAGAAGGAAATTTCTATTAGAAAATCAGAACTGAGCTGGGCACGGTGGCTCACGCCTGTAATCCCAGCACTGTGGGAGGCCGAGGCTGGCGGATCACGAGGCCAGGAGATCGAGACCATCCCGGCTAACACAGTGAAACCCCGTCTCTACTAAAAAAATACAAAAAATTAGCCGGGCTTCGTAGCGGGCAGCTGTAGTCCCTGCTACTCTGGAGGCTGAGGCAGGAGAATGACGTGAACTCGGGAGGCGCAGCTTATAGTGAGCCTGGATGGCGCCACTGCACTTCAGCCTGGGCGACAGAGCAAGACTCCGTCTCAGAAAAAAAAAGAAAATCAGAACTGGACTGGGCGCAGCGGCTCATGCCTGTAATCCCAGCACTTTGGGAGCCTGAGGCAGGAGGGTCACTTGAGCTCCGGAGTTCAAAACCAGCCTGGGCAACACAGGAAGACCCCATCTCTGCAAATAGTTGTTTTTAAAAAATTAGCTGGGCATGATGGTGCATGCCTGTCATTCTACCTACTCAGGAGGCTATGGCAGGAGAATCACTTGAGCCTGGGAGGTCCAGGCTGCAGTGAGCCATGATTGTGTCACTGCACTATAGCCTGTGTGACAGAGCAAGACCTTGTCTCAAAAATAAAATGAAATAAAATAAATAAAAATAGAAAATCAGAACTCAGTAGAAAAATTAGGGTTGAGATGTTTGCTTGTGATTTTTTTTTTTTTAGGATAAAAGCTATAAGGAAGTTTGGAGCTGGGCGGGAAGAAGACTGAGTAGGAAAGCTTAGTCAACACCTACTGTTAAGAAATACATGGTTAATTATTTCTTAAAACTTTAAAACTCAGTTCAGTTAACATTCCTTCCAGGATGCCTTTCCTGATATTCAATCCCAACAATTAGGTGTTCTTTCTTCCTACCTTCAATCTTACCTCTTTTACACTAGTATTATACTTAGCCACAATATTATGTTAGTTCATTTGCTTTTATTTTATCCCCGCTGAAGAAAAGTGTCTAAGAGTGGGACTGTGTCTTATTCAATTTTGTGGTCCCAGAACATATCTCAGTTCTTAGCACAGAGTAGAAGTGTAAGCACTAGTCTTAGCACCTAGTCTGCTAGGATAAATAAATGAGTGAGCAAATAAATGAGTGAGACAGCCATTATCAGGCAAATGTGTAGGCGAGAAGTAGAATGAAGACAAGACAGAATTTCCAGAAGATGAACAGTATGAAATGTTAGAGAGCAGTCAAGTAGAGTGAGATTAGAAGAAGGACTCTATTATTAGATTAAGCAAATAATATTTAATTGTAGGATTTATAAAAAATTTCAGGGGAGAGGGGTCAGAATTAGGTTCATTGATAAGTTTATGAAAGGGAGAAGGTGGTTGTGGCAACCATTGACTATACATGGATAAATTTAGAAAAATAAGGAAAGGTGAATCTATAGATGTTTATATTGGGTGGCAGATCTTATATTTTAGGAAGACAGAAACTTAAAAATGCTTGACAAATGATACATATTTGCAGGTGAGGTAAACTGGAAATGAATGTAGAAGGAGCTGGGAATGAAGGCTATGGTAATAGAATAATCAAAAAATGGGGAGAAAGGTACCTTACAGTTTTACTGTTTTTCAGTCTTACTTTACACACACACACACACACACACACACACACACACAGCTACATGTATAGCAGGAATTTCCTAACAACTTGTTGATCAACTAATAAGAGGTTGAACAGTTCATACGAAATGCTAGCAGAAGAGAGGGCACCATTTTCTGTGGTTACTCTGAGATTTCAGGAAGCTTCAACCACACTACAGGGAGAGGAGGAATAATAACTGGCAAGCTATAAGAGGTGGTTGTCCAGCCACATGCTTAGGTTGAGGATGGTATCATCTGGATATTGTTCCCTAAGTATAGAAATGTGGAATGTGCCATTCCCAATTAAGAGTCTGATACATCCTATCTGTTTTCCTAATAACAGTGGATTTTTCAGAGTCAGGTAGTTGTGACATTCTCATTTACTGTGCAATTCAGTTTATCAAAGACAAAGTCTAGCTTGCCAGACTTGCTTCTCTCTAGCTTCGAGACAATCAGCTCATGACCCCAAACAGGAGACACATAGCCCCCAGGGGCTTCAAATATTCTTTGTCATAAAATCACCCAGTTCCGTTTAAAACCCTGCCAGCGAGCTTGGTTCAGTGATCTCTGCAGCTGTGACTTCAACAGGTTAAAGCTACATCTTGTGAAAAGTGTTCATTTGTTCTAAATTTACCACCCACTAATGCCATGGAGTGACCCTTTGTTCTCCTATGAAGCAACCAAACAAAAAGCAAGAGAAAATAGCAGCCCAAGCTCAGGTAAGCTTGATGCTGCAGTGTTTTCCCCTTTCTTGTTCTCTTCTATTTGTAGGTAAATAAGCATCCAAGCTCCTGTCTGCAAAATTCATCCCAAGCTCCCACCACCTTGTCAAACTCTTCAAGGGAAACATTATTGCCTTAATTGCTTAAGCCCAATTTGCATAATATGGAGCTCTGACAGCCACAAAAACAGGGATGCAAAAAGGAGATTAACAAGTGAGGAGCACGCTTAGCCAACCCTGTGCAGTTTGGAAATGAGAGCAGAGAAGAATTCATCGGATGGGTGGGTTAGCTGTTTGATCCGCTCCCAGTCCCTCCCCGCTGTACCTCCTTCTCCCCATCCCACCTTCAGGTTTGTTTGTTTTTCATTTGCATGCATTGGCTCCTAGCATGTGCCCATGTGCCCAGACTGTTAATTGCCATTCCTAGCAGAGCCTCCTTCAGGCCCTGGTAAAGCTCAGGCAGCATCAGCCAGTACAGATTTAAACACAGCCTTTCCTCTTTACACCAAGCTCATCCAAATATCCAAAATGTTAACACTGCTTGGGAAGGCAGGGACAGTGTCTTAGTCACCTTTGTACCTTTAGTGTCTTTTTATAAAATTAAATTGATATCTCTTTGGAAGAGTCATGGATAGTCAACTCCCATCAGGAACCTCCTGTGCATGGCTGGCAGAGTGCCCCAGTCGCCACAGCAGAATTCTGTCTGTGCCATTCTCTCTCAGAGTATTTTGGGCTGCTTGTTGCCTACAGGTTAATGGACCCCTTAAAATAGCCTCAAATCCAGATCCAGACACCCTGCATTACTTCTGTAAAAGGAGAATGATCTACTTACTCAGGCTCTTGTGCAGGAGACATAGAAACTGAATGCTGTGTTTCATAGCCACTCATAGAACCAGCTGAAGCTGTTCAAGTACGGTGGACTTTGAGTGACTCTTTTCCCCTCAGTATTAACACCTTGACTGGACCTAACTGAAGACTCTTTCCTGACCAAGGAAAAGTGAGACTTATTTTAACCATCTGTGGAGAGAACAATAGATTTATTCAGTCCTCTCAAGGATGCTAGCTTTTCATGTTTAACTGGCACAAACACCAGTAGTGTTTTCCATTCTATTACTCAGAAAACCTTAACATTTCCTCCTCAGCCAACTACTTAGTGGTGTTTCTTGACAAGTTCATAAACTCCCCTCTTCCCCTGTGGTCTTTAATTTATTCTCTGACCCTTATGATTCCAGGTTTGCCTACTTCAGTCATGACTACCCTTATCCCACCAGTCCACACTCTTCTCTCCTCTCCTCTCCTTTACTTTTTTCTTTTCCTTTCCTTTCTTTTCTTTTTTTTTTTAGGCAGAGTCTCGCTCTGTTGCCCAGGCTGGAGTGTTGTGGGGCAATATCATCTCACTGCAACCTCCACCTCCCAGGTTCAAGTGATTCTCCTGCCTCAGCCTCCTGAGTAGTTGGGACTACAGGCGCATGCCACCACACCTGGCTAATTTTTGTATTTAGTAGAGACGGGGTTTCACCATGTTGGCCAGGCTAATCTTGAACTCCTGACCTTGAGTGGTCTGCCCACCACAGCCTCCCAAAGTGCTGGGATTACAAGTGTGAGCCACTGTGCCCAGCCCACACCCTTTGTTTCCTTCTCTTTTTTTTGAGACAGGGTTTTGCTCCATCACCCAGGCTGGTGTGCAGTGGTGCGATCATAGCTCACTGCAGCCTCTACCACCCAGGCTCGAATTATTGTTCCATCTCAGCCTCCCAAGTAGCTAGGACTACAGATGTGAGCCACCACACACAGCTACAGGAGTCCCGCTTTGTTGTCCAGGCTGGTTTAGAACTTTGGGGCTCAAGTGATCCTCCCAACTCAGCCTCCCCAAATGCTGGGATTACAAGTGTGAGCCACCATACCCAAGCACCCTTTTTTTGGCTCATTCCTAAATATATTCAACACTAGTTCCAGTAACTCCTACTCCGGGAAGCCTTTCCTACTCTTCAGTAAACTCCCCTAGGATGCTACCTCCTTGCCTTCTGGCCTGGAAGTTCTCACCTCTGCAAATTAAGTATTCAAGTCCCCAATCATTAAGGGTAAGCACCACTGAAGTTATAGAGGAAAGGACACATAGAAATGTGTTCTTTGTTGCTGAAGTATATAAACACGATTGATTTTTGTGTATTGATTTTGTGTCCAACCACATTTTAAAACTATTTTAGAGGTTCTAAGAGTGTTTAAATCCTCTAGTTTTAGAGAATCATATTTTCTACAAATAATAAGAGCTTTATTTCTTGCTTTCCAATCTTCATGTCTTTTATTTTCCTTTCATGTCTTGCTGCACTGGCTATGAAGCTTTCAGCAGCATGTTGTCATATTGAGCACGTTTGTCTTATTCCTGATACGCAAGGCAATATTTAATTTCACCATTAGGTATTTCATTATGTTCTCTTCAGTAGATTTCCTTTATGAGGTCAAGAAGTTCCCTTCAATTCTAATAGACAAAATGTTTTTATCATGAATATATATAGAATTTGATTAAATGTCTTTTCTCAATTTTTTATACGTACATTTTCTCAAATTTCTTTTTATTTATTTATTTTTTATTTTTTTATTATACTTTAAGTTTTAGGGTACATGTGCACATTGTGCAGGTTAGTTACATATGTATACATGTGACATGCTGGTGCGCTGCACCCACTAACTCGTCATCTAGCATTAGGTATATCTCCCAATGCTATCCCTCCCCCCACCCCCCACCCCACCACAGTCCCCAGAGTGTGATATTCCCCTTCCTGTGTCCATGTGATCTCATTGTTCAATTCCCACCTATGAGTGAGAATATGCGGTGTTTGGTTTTTTTGTTCTTGCGATAGTTTACTGAGAATGATGATTTCCAATTTCATCCATGTCCCTACAAAGGACATGAACTCATCATTTTTTATGGCTGCATAGTATTCCATGGTGTATATGTGCCACATTTTCTTAATCCAGTCTATTATTGTTGGACATTTGCGTTGGTTCCAACTCTTTGCTATTGTGAATAATGCCGCAATAAACATACGTGTGCATGTGTCTTTATAGCAGCATGATTTAGACTCCCTTGGGTATATACCCAGTAATGGGATGGCTGGGTCAAATGGTATTTCTAGTTCTAGATCCCTGAGGAATCGCCACGCTGACTTCAACAATGGTTGAACTAGTTTACAGTCCCACCAACAGTGTAAAAGTGTTCCTATTTCTCCACATCCTCTCCACCACCTGTTGTTTCCTGACTTTTTAATGATTGCCATTCTAACTGGTGTGAGATAGTATCTCATAGTGGTTTTGATTTGCATTTCTCTGATAGCCAGTGATGATGAGCATTTTTTCATGTGTTTTTTGGCTGCATAAATGTCTTCTTTTGAGAAGTGTCTGTTCATGTCCTTCGCCCACTTTTTGATGGGGTTGTTTGTTTTTTTCTTGTAAATTTGTTTGAGTTCATTGTAGATTCTGGATATTAGCCCTTTGTCAGATGAGTAGGTTGCGAAAACTTTCTCCCATTTTGTAGGTTGCCTGTTCACTCTGATGGTAGTTTCTTTTGCTGTGCAGAAGCTCTTTAGTTTAATTAAACCCCATTTGTCAATTTTGTCTTTTATTGCCATTGCTTTTGGTGTTTTAGACATGAAGTCCTTGCCCATGCCTATGTCCTGAATGGTATTGCCTAGGTTTTCTTCTAGGGTTTTTATGGTTTTAGGTCTAACATTTAAGTCTTTAATCCATCTTGAATTGATTTTTGTATAAGGTGTAAGGAAGGGATCCAGTTTCATCTTTCTCCATATGGCTAGCCAGTTTTCCCAGCACCATTTATTAATTAGGGAATCCTTTCCCCATTGCTTGTTTTTCTCAGGTTTGTCAAAGATCAGATAGTTGTAGATATGCAGCGTTATTTCTGAGGGCTCTGTTCTGTTCCATTGATCTATCTCTCTGTTTTGGTACCAGTACCATGCTGTTTTGGTTACTGTAGCCTTGTAGTATAGTTTGAAGTCAGGTAGTGTGATGCCTCCAGCTTTGTTCTTTTGGCTTAGGATTGCCTTGGCGATGAGGGCTCTTTTTTGGTTCCATATGAACTTTAAAGTAGTTTTTTCCAATTCTGTGAAGAAAGTCATTGGTAGCTTTATGGGGATGGCATTGAATCTGTAAATTACCTTGGGCAGTATGGCCATTTTCACGATATTGATTCTTCCTACCCATGAGCATGGAATGTTCTTCCATTTGTTTGTATCCTCTTTTATTTCGTTGAGCAGTGGTTTGTAGTTCTCCTTGAAGAGGTCCTTCACATCCCTTGTAAGTTGGATTCCTAGGTATTTCATTCTCTTTGAAGCAATTGTGAATGGGAGTTCACTCATGATTTGGCTCTCTGTTTGTCTGTTGTTGGTGTATAAGAATGCTTGTGATTTTTGTACGTTGATTTTGTATCCTGAGACTTTGCTGAAGTTGCTTATCAGCTTAAGGAGATTTTGGGCTGAGACGATGGGGTTTTCTAGATATACAATCATGTCGTCTGCAAACAGGGACAATTTGACTTCCTCTTTTCCTAATTGAATACCCTTTATTTCCTTCTCCTGCCTAATTGCCCTGGCCAGAACTTCCAACACTATGTTGAATAGGAGTGGTGAGAGAGGGCATCCCTGTCTTGTGCCAGTTTTCAAAGGGAATGCTTCCAGTTTTTGCCCATTTAGTATGATATTGGCTGTGGGTTTGTCATAGATAGCTCTTATTATTTTGAAATACGTCCCATCAATACCTAATTTATTGAGAGTTTTTAGCATGAAGGGTTGTTGAATTTTGTCAAAGGCCTTTTCTGCATCTATTGAGATAATCATGTGGTTTTTGTCTTTGGCTCTGTTTATATGCTGGATTACATTTATTGATTTGCATATATTGAACCAGCCTTGCATCCCAGGGATGAAGCCCACTTGATCATGGTGGATAAGCTTTTTGATGTGCTGCTGGATTCGTTTTGCCAGTATTTTATTGAGGATTTTTGCATCAATGTTCATCAAGGATATTGGTCTAAAATTCTCTTTTTTTGTTGTGTCTCTGCCTGGCTTTGGTATCAGAATGATGCTGGCCTCATAAAATGAGTTAGGGAGGATTCCCTCTTTTTCTATTGATTGGAATAGTTTCAGAAGGAATGGTACCAGTTCCTCCTTGTACCTCTGGTAGAATTCGGCTGTGAATGCATCTGGCCCTGGACTCTTTTTGGTTGGTAAACTATTGATTATTGCCACAATTTCAGCTCCTGTTATTGGTCTATTCAGAGATTCAACTTCTTCCTGGTTTAGTCTTGGGAGAGTGTATGTGTTGAGGAATTTATCCATTTCTTCTAGATTTTCTAGTTTATTTGCGTAGAGGTGTTTGTAGTATTCTCTGATGGTAGTTTGTATTTCTGTGGGATCAGTGGTGATATCCCCTTTATCATTTTTTATTGTGTCTATTTGATTCTTCTCTCTTTTTTTCTTTATTAGTCTTGCTAGCGGTCTATCAATTTTGTTGATCCTTTCAAAAAACCAGCTCCTGGATTCATTAATTTTTTGAAGGGTTTTTTTGGTCTCTATTTCCTTCAGTTCTGCTCTGATTTTAGTTATTTCTTGCCTTCTGCTAGCTCTTGAATGTGTTTGCGCTTGCTTTTCTAGTTCTTTTAATTGTGATGTTAGGGTGTCAATTTTGGATCTTTCCTGCTTTCTCTTGGCGGCATTTAGTGCTATAAATTTCCCTCTACACACTGCTTTGAATGTGTCCCAGAGATTCTGGTATGTTGTGTCTTTGTTCTCGTTGGTTTCAAAGAACATCTTTATTTCTGCCTTCATTTCGTTATGTATCCAGTAGTCATTCAGGAGCAGGTTGTTCAGTTTCCATGTAGCTGAGCAGTTTTGAGTGAGATTCTTAATTCTGAGTTCTAGTTTGATTGCACTGTGGTCTGAGAGATAGTTTGTTATAATCTCTGTTCTTTTACATTTGCTGAGGAGAGCTTTACTTCCAAGTATGTGGTCAATTTTGGAATAGGTGTGCTGTGGTGCTGAAAAAAATGTATATTCTGTTGATTTGGGGTGGAGAGTTCTGTAGATGTCTATTAGGTCTGCTTGGTGCAGAGCTGAGTTCAATTCCTGGGTATCCTTGTTGACTTTCTGTCTCGTTGATCTGTCTAATGTTGACAGTGGGGTGTTAAAGTCTCCCATTATTAATGTGTGGGAGTCTAAGTCTCTTTGTAGGTCACTCAGGACTTGCTTTATGAATCTGGGTGCTACTGTATTGGGTGCATATATATTTAGAATAGTTAGCTCTTCTTGTTGAATTGATCCCTTTACCATTATGTAATGGCCTTCTTTGTCTCTTTTGATCTTTGTTGGTTTAAAGTCTGTTTTATCAGAGACTAGGATTGCAACCCCTGCCTTTTTCTGTTTTCCATTTGCTTGGTAGATCTTCCTCCATCCTTTTATTTTGTGCCTATGTGTGTCTCTGCACATGAGTTGGGTTTCCTGAATACAGCACACTGATGGGTCTTGACTCTTTATCCAATTTGCCAGTCTGTGTCTTTTAATTGGAGCATTTAGTCCATTTACATTTAAAGTTAATATGGTTATGTGTGAATTTGATCCTGTCATTATGATGTTAGCTGGTGATTTTGCTCGTTAGTTGATGCAGTTTCTTCCTAGTCTCGATGGTCTTTACATTTTGGCATGATTTTGCAGCGGCTGGTCCCGGTTGTTCCTTTCCATGTTTAGCGCTTCCTTCAGGAGCTCTTTTAGGGCAGGCCTGGTGGTGACAAAATCTCTCAGCATTTTCTTGTCTGTAAAGGATTTTATTTCTCCTTCACTTATGAAGCTTAGTTTGGCTGGATATGAAATTCTGGGTTGAAAATTCTTTTCTTTAAGAATGTTGAATATTGGTCCCCACTCTCTTCTGGCTTGTAGGGTTTCTGCCGAGAGATCAGCTGTTAGTCTGATGGGCTTCCCTTTGAGGGTAACCCGACCTTTCTCTTTGGCTGCCCTTAACATTTTTTCATTTCAACTTTGGTGAATCTGACAATTATGTGTCTTGGAGTTGCTCTTCTCGAGGAGTATCTTTGTGGCGTTCTCTGTATTTCCTGAATCTGAACGTTGGCCTGCCTTGCTAGATTGGGGAAGTTCTCCTGGATAATATCCTGCAGAGTGTTTTCCAACTTGGTTCCATTCTCCCCATCACTTTCAGGTACACCAATCAGACGTAGATTTGGTCTTTTCACATAGTCCCATATTTCTTGGAGGCTTTGCTCATTTCTTTTTATTCTTTTTTCTCTAAACTTCCCTTCTCGCTTCATTTCATTCATTTCATCTTCCATCACTGATACCCTTTCTTCCAGTTGATCGCATCAGCTCCTGAGGCTTCTGCATTCTTCACGTAGTTCTTGAGCCTTGGTTTTCAGCTCCATCAGCTCCTTTAAGCACTTCTCTGTATTGGTTATTCTAGTTATACATTCTTCTAAATTTTTTTCAAAGTTTTAAACTTCTTTGCCTTTGGTTTGAATGTCCTCCCGTAGCTCAGAGTAATTTGATTGTCTGAAGCCTTCTTCTCTCAGCTCATCAAAGTCATTCTCCGTCTAGCTTTGTTCCGTTGCTGGTGAGGAACTGCATTCCTTTGGAGGAGGAGAAGCGCTCTGCTTTTTAGAGTTTCCCGTTTTTCTGTTCTGTTTTTTCCCCATCTTTGTGGTTTTATCTACTTTTGGTCTTTGATGATGGTGATGTACAGATGGGTTTTTCGTGTGGATGTCCTTTCTATTTGTTAGTTTTCCTTCTAACGGACAGGACCCTCAGCTGCAGGTCTGTTGGAATACCCTGCCGTGTGAGGTGTCAGTGTGCCCCTGCTGGGGGGTGCCTCCCAGTTAGGCTGCTCGGGGGTCAGGGGTCAGGGACCCACTTGAGGAGGCTGTCTGCTGTTCTCAGATCTCCAGCTGCGTGCTGGGAGAACCACTGCTCTCTTCAGAGCTGTCAGACAGGGACATTTAAGTTTGCAGAGTTTACTGCTGTCTTTTTGTTTGTCTGTGCCCTGCCCCCAGAGGTGGAGCCTACAGAGGCAGGCAGGCCTCCTTGAGCTGTGGTGGGCTCCACCCAGTTGGAGCTTCCCGGCTGCTTTGTTTACCTAAGCAAGCCTGGGCAATGGCAGGCGCCCCTCCCGGAGCCTCGCTGCCGCCTTGCAGTTTGATCTCAGACTGCTATGCTAGCAATCAGCGAGACTCCTTGGGGGTAGGACCCTCTGAGCCAGGTGCGGGATATAATCTCGTGGTGTGCCGTTTTTTAAGCCGGTCCGAAAAGCGCAGTATTCGGGTGGGAGTGACCCGATTTTCCAGGTGAGTCCGTCACCCCTTTCTTTGACTTGGAAAGGGAACTCCCTGACCCCTTGCACTTCCCAAGTGAGGCAATGCCTCGCCCTGCTTTGGCTCGCGCACGGTGCGCGCACCCACTGACCTGCGCCCACTGTCTGACACTCCCTAGTGAGATGAACCCAGTACCTCAGATGGAAATGCAGAAATCATCCGTCTTCTGCTTCGCTCACGCTGGGAGCTGTAGACCGGAGCTGTTCCTGTTCAGCCATCTTGGCTCTTCCCTCAAATTTCTATATTTTTAGAAGTTTGTGAGTTTTTGAAATAATTTAGTTTGTTCCTATGCATATAGTTTTCCAGTCTTTTTGAATATGCTGGATTATGGAAGCCAGTAAGGTTCAAATTGATATGTTTTGTGTACACTGTGGTTTCAGTATGTGTGTATGTTTGTATGTGTGAAGAGTAAGAGGGGGGCTTTGATGTCGGAGAAGTAAGACAAGCTAAGGTGGAGCCCAAACGCAAACAGTGATCAATGACTTGGCTGGTATTTCATCTTTAGTCTAGGGTCTCTGATTGAACAAATACATTTTGGGATTTATTTATTATTTATTTATTTATTTATTTATTTTTGAGTTGGAGTTTCACTCTGTCCCCCAGGCTGGAGCGCAGTGGCACGATCTCCGCTCACTGCAACCTCCGCCACCCGGGTTGACGCCGTTCTCCTGCCTTAGCCTCCGAGTAGCTGGGACTACAGGCATCCGCCACCTCGCCCGGCAAAATTTTTTTTTGTATATTTAGTAGAGACGGAGTTTCACCATGTTAGCCAGGATGGTCTCCATCTCTTGACTTCGTGATCCGCCCACCTCGGCCTCGCAAAGTCCTGGGATTACAGGCCTGAGCCACTGAGCCCGGCCGAGATTTTATATTTTTTTAATTGTTCATTCAATAGGAACCTGTTTACAAATAAATAATGTGCCTTTGGCATTTGTGTCTCACGTTTCATTTGTGATGCTGTTGATGATGGTGATAATGATGATGATTTTGATGGTTAATATTGATATCGAGTGTTAACTTGATTGGATGGAAGGATGCAAAGTATTGTTCCTGGGTGTGTCTGTGAGGGTGTTGCCAAGGGAGTTTAACATTTGAATTAGTGGGTTTGGAGAGGCAGATCCATCCTCAGTCTGAGTGGGCACCATCTAATCAACTGCCAGTGCGGCTTGAATAAAGCAGTCAGGAGAAGGTGGAAGAGCAGGCTTGCTGCGTCTTCCGGCCTCCATCTTTCTCCATGCTGGATGCTTCCTACCTTGAACATCAGACGGCAAGTTCTTCAGCTTTTGGACTCTTGAACTTACAGCAGTGATTTGCCAGGAGCTCTCGGGCCTTTGGCCACAGACCGAAGGCTGCATCGTCGGCTTCCCTACTTTTGAGGTTTTGGGACTCGGACTGGCTTCCTGGCTCCTCAGCTTGCAGACAGCTTATTGTGGGACTTCACTTTGTGATTGTGTGAGCCAATTCTCCTAATAAACTCCCCTTCATATATACATATATCCTATTAGTTGTGTCCCTTTAGTGAACTCTAATATAAGGATGATGATATGGAAACATAAATACACAAATATAGGCCAGAAGTAGAGCAAATTTCTAATAGTAAATAACAATGAAAAGTCAGAGACAGATAATTAAAAAAGCAGTAACTACAAAGGAAATGAAATCAGTGTGTCGAAGAGATATCCAGCTTTTATGTTCATTGCAGCACTGTTCAAAATAGCTAAGATAAGGATTCAACGTCTATGTCTATCAACAGATGAATGGATAAAGAAAATGTGGTACATACACACAATGGAATACTACTCAACCTTAAAAAAAAAAAAACAAAAACAAATCCTGACATTAACAGCAACATGGATGAACCTGGAGGACATTCTGTTAAATAAAATAAGCCAATCACAGAAAGACTAATAAACATGATCTCACTTATATGTAAAATCTAAAAAATGCTAAACTCATAGAAGCAGAAAGAAGAATGACGGTTACCAGGGATGGGAGGAGGGGGAAGGATTGGCAAGATGTTGGTCAAAGGATGCAAAATTGCATTTAGACAGCAAGAATAAATCT
Organism: Homo sapiens; assembly: GCF_000001405.40. Classification (NCBI taxonomy): domain Eukaryota; kingdom Metazoa; phylum Chordata; class Mammalia; order Primates; family Hominidae; genus Homo; species Homo sapiens. The sequence continues at coordinate 116,211,258 of NC_000003.12, forward strand.
AAGATACCTATTTTATAATATGATGACTATAGTTCATAACAATGTATTGTATACTTGCGAATTGCTAAGACGGTAGATCTTAAGTGTTCTCTCCACAAATAAATCATAAATATGTGAGGTAATGCATATGTTAATTAGCACAATTTAGCCATTCAAAAATGTATACATGTTTCAAAGCATCATGTTGTTCACCGTTAATATAAACAATTGTTATTTAATTTTAAAAAATTGATAAATAATAAAGCAATAACCAAGACTCTATTAAGCTAATTGGGTTTGTACTCTGTAAATACAGAAATATGGGAAAGGCAAGGGATTTTAGGGGGTCCAAAGTGAATACTGAGAAACCAAAAAGAGGATAAGGTGGGCAGATCCATTACTTACAGCTTAAATATGTTAATGGGCAGCAATATGCTGATTTTACATGTATGTGAGTGAACTCTTATTAGATATCCCATATTTGGGCCCTGAACTTAAAAGAACTAGTCAGTCTGGCAAAAACAATGAAAAGTAATTTTGGGCCAGAATTTATCATCACAAAGGAAGAAACCTATATCATTTCTGGTCTAATGTGGATGATGCCATCTTCCAGCCCTTAGTTTTAGATAAAAACAAAACATGAGGGATGGCCAGCAGATAGATGATAGCAGGAGACGTTGGTTCCATGGGTTAGTTCCAAGCTTCCATGGGGAAGCTTGTGTCAGTATTCTGACTGTGCTTCCATTCATGTAACAGAAGAGAGAGGTCAGGTTACAATTGAGTTCTTCTTGTGATAAAGACTATGAAAAGAGTGCTAAAGAAGGAGGCTTTTACCCAATCCAGTGACACAGAATTTTATTGCTTGACACAGTTTGCTGAGCAGCCATGAGGCAATTCACAGCCTACTACTTCTGGAAAATAATGAACCATGTGTGGTGTGATATCAAATAAATGGAGTTGGGATTGAGAGAATGCTTATGATCAGCCAATTGGAAAGATGCGCAAAGTTCAGTTCTAGGTGCCAAGTGATTCAGGAGTAATAAATTACTCCCTAAACAAATTTTAAAGATGCTAAAGGTGAAGGTTTCTTTTTTTGTTTTGTTTTTCATTTATGGCAATATCATAGTGTTTCCTGATAAAGATCAGATTAAGTGGAAAAGCCAGTTTTAAACAGAATAGAGAAGAAAGTCATTGAGAAATTAGTCTATGAAGACTGACATTCTCCTGAGGATATTCACTTTGCAATTTCACTTTTACCATTTACCCTGTTAAGGCTAAGATTTAATTTAAAGAATTTTGTTTAGAGATAAAATAAAACTTCAAAAAAAAAAACTACAGAAGTAAAATTATCTTCAAAGACACCCTTCTGAGTTGATTAGATACTAAAAATGTTTATTTAAGCATTTAATGAACATGTAACTAATGTAGGAACCTTATAAAAATCATCAAAACTTGTTTTGGAGTTATAAGTTTTTGTAAGTGCTAGTTCCTTATGGCATTCTTCCTAAGCAGTTGGGTGAGAGTATAATAACATAGGGTTACTTTCATATGTACATAGGGTTACACTCTCACCCAACTACTTGAGAAGAATGCTACAAGGGGGATGGGAGCAGTAGACCACAGGGAATCTGATTTATTTGTCTCTGTAAGTACAAAGTTATACTATTTTACTGCAGTAAAGGTGTAATCTGAGTAAAAATGTAAAGACCTTAAGTTTCATCAGTAAGTAAGAAGTTCCAGTAATGTAAGATTTTGCAATGGGTCACTTTGTACTGTGTGCATTTTTTAAACTATATTCAAAGATCCTGAAGCTTCACTGTCCATGACCAATTTTGCTCTTATAATATTTATAAATAAATATCCAGAGGTGGGATAAATGCATGATATGATAGTTCCATTTTTAATTTTTTGTGAAAATACCCTACTGTTTTCCATAGCAGCTTTATCATTTTGAGTTGTGATATGGTTTGGTTGTGTCCCCACCCGAATCTCATATTGAATGCCCATATGTTGTAGGAGGAACATAGTGGGAGGTAACTGAATCATGGGAGCAGCTCTTTCCTGTGCTGGTCTTGTGATAGTGAATAAGTCTCATAAGATCTGATGGTTTTATAAAGAGGAGTTCCCCTGCACAAGCTCTTTCTTTGCCTGCTGCTATCCATGTAAGATATGACTTGCTCCTCCTAGCCTTCTGCCATGATTGTGAGGCCTCTCCAGCCATGTGGAATTGTAAGTCCACTAAGCCTCTTTCTTTTGTAAAGTGCTCAGTCTTGGGTGTGTCTTTATCAGCAGCATGAAAGCCAACTAATACAAGTTGAAATCAGGATCTTCAGGTGATATTTGCATTTTCAAGTTTATTATGAAACTCAATAGCCAACATGTGGAAACAAACTAAATAGACAACATGTGGAAACAAACTAAATATCCACTGATAGATAAATGGATAAAAGTAATGTGGTATATATACATACAATGGAATACTATTCAGCCTTAAAAGAGGAGATTCTGCAATATGGTACAACATGAATGGATCTTGAGGACACTATGCTAAGTGAAATAAGCCAGGCAGATGGACAAGTAATGCATGAGTCTACTTATATAAGGTATCTAAAATAATCAAATTTAAAGAATCTGAAAGTGAAATGATGGATGCCAAGGACTAGTGGCAAGGAGAAATTAAGAGTTACTAACCAATGGGCATAAAGTTTCAGTTGAGCAAGATGAACCAGCTCTAGACATCTGCTGTACAGTACTGTACCTATAGTGAAGGATAATGTATTGTACACCTAAAAATCTATTGAAAGATATCTCATGTTAAGAGTTCTTATCACAATAAAATGATTTTTAAAAAATTTATGGGATATTTAAAAGCATACACATCTCATACTGAAAAAAGCAAATGTCAACATTATTAACCAAGGGCTACAAATTTTCAACACATAAATTCACAGCTAAACTTTTAATGGAATTTAATGGCAAATTATGACTCAAAATAAAGTTGTTTACTTTCTAAAAAGGCTTATCATTATTTCAGCTAATGTGTATATTAAGCTCAGCGCTGTAGGTCAGGTCGTGTTCAAAGAATTGATCATTTTACCAAATGCTCTATAATTCTCCAGCCCAGAGTGAAAGTGCATTGCTGACCTCTCTATGAGAAAATGTTTCCCTGCTAAAAAGCCAGGAATCAGGTTATATCCTGTGGCACAAGGCCCTGAGTTTTCTGTTTATAATGTGAGCCCTCAAATAAAGAGTAAAAATGGGTCTTTTTTTTTTTTTTTTTTTTTTGAGACAGAGTCTCACTCTGTCACCCAGGCTGGAGAGCAGTGGTGCAATCCCAGCTGACTGCAACCTCTGCCTCCTGGGTTCAAGCAATTCTCCACCTCAGCCTCCCAATTAGCTGGGATTACAGGTGCCCACCACCACGCATGGCTAATTTTTGTATTTTTAGGAGAGACGGGGTTTCACCATGTTGGCCAGGCTCGTCTCAAATTCCTGACCTCAAGTGATCTGCCTGCCTCAGCCTCCCAAAGTGCTGGAATTACAGGTGTGAGTCACCACACCCAGCCAGGATGGGTCCTTTAAAACATATGAAGGAGCCATCAGGGGAGAGGTATGACAGGGTCATCTCTAAGTGGTAAAGAGAGTAATGGGAAGAGGAGAAATAATAAATTTCAATGAACTGTGACTAAACCTATTTTAAAAGTCTTAGAAGGACTGGAAGTTAACGAAATAACCACCCTCTCCAAGAAATACTAATTGGACTTTAAAATGATACTTTGGGTTATCTATTAATTCAATAAACATTATTAAGAACTCAGTATGTACATAACACTACACTGGATACATTGCGGACGGATGGACCAAAAAGAGAGGACATTGTCCTTATTCTCAAAATGCTTATGAAATGTGCCATCATAATAAGGAAAACGAAATAAATAAACAAACAAATAAAGGAATAAGTTGCTGAAGTGTGCTGTGGTCAACTGTGAGATGCTCTTCAATATTCATTCTTCCTTCCATCTATGATGAAATCTTAGCTGGTCTTTGGTCACTCAGGTAGGACCCTATCTTCCTGTGTTGTTTGCAGTTGGGTATAAACATGAGACCGATTTCTGGCTAATTCCATGTGAGTGCAAGTGATACCTGCCACTTCCAACTTTGCTTTTTAAAGTATTGAGCACTCACTGCCTTAGGACCTTTTTTTTTTGGCCCGCTGCTGCAAGAAGAAGAGAAAGAAAAGAGCTGCCTAGGTCCCAGAGGTGGAGGCCGCTTATTGAAAATGCAAAACTATCTTCATCAAGACCACCTACTTCTGAACCTTTACTTGAGAGAAATGAACTTCTATTGCATTTCAGCCACTGGTTTTTGTCTGTCTGATTTTCTGACATATTTGTTGCAGAATCTTACCCTAAACTTTAATTAGCTGCCAAGCAATCAGAGAGATGCATTTAATTAGAGAAGACTCCTTGAGTTGATTTTGAGGGAGATAGGGATGAATTGCCCAAAGTTGGGTATGGTTGTACAATGGCACAATAATCAGGATACACCATGGTAGGCGGGGATAAGGGAGTTGATTAAAGCAAAACAGAGGCACGAAGAAATTGGCAGTGAATAACATGCTTAGATGATTGTAGAAGCACAATTATTCACCATTGTAAAGGATTCCAAGGTCATGTGGTCTATTTCCCTTACCTACACATTAATATTGTTTACCAAATTTGGAGTAAGTAATCATGCAACAGCTCCTTGAACAGAAAAGTCATTGTATCACAAAGGTGCACATTAGCTTTTTATATAGCTCTAAACATTAAGCAATATTTTTAGATGAATCTGAAATCCACCTATCCATAGTTTCCAGTGTGATTCATGATTTCATGAATCACTTTATTCATGAAAGTGACAGAAAACTAAGTTTAAGCCTCTTATTATGTGATATCCCTTTAATTTAAATTCTAGTCATGTCTTCTTTTAACCTTTTTATTTTCCAATAAAGTTCCTCAAGGTTTTTCACTTGTCCCTCATCTCCCATGACTTCCAGACCCATCGCTGTCTGGACCACTCTGTAACGGATCCTCTTTGGTCTGTTGACATTCTTTAGGTGCCAGAATTGAACATGCTACCCTAGGTATGCTCTGATAAGGACAGAGAAGAAAAATGGCATTAATTGTCCTTGTTCTGAGCAGTGTACATCTTGTAATTGATCAAATTAGTCTATTTTTCCTGAAAGTACTGCTACTCTTACATGTAAAATGTAAAAAGTGCATTTACTCTTAACATCTTGTATGATGGTATGGGCATGGGAGGATCCAGAAGCAAAGAATGAGAAAAAAAAAAAGATTTTTGTAATAATATAATGCATGAAGTGAATAGGAAGTGGGAGACACAAAAAAACTGTTTAGGAAAAAAAACTAGCAGGCACAGTAATGAATTAGATGTGAATAGTGAAAAAAAATCAACATCTTCACTGAAATAATTATGAGTTTAAAACAGGAGATTAAGGAAGAAGTGTTGGAAAGGTAGTATTAAAAAGGGGTGGAAATTCTTGCAGTTCTGTTGAAATATTCACAGCTAGTTTCTGCTTTACTTGATGGGGAAAGGAGAGAAATAAACTACTTTGGAAATAGATCGTGTTCAGATGCAAAATGGAACAGGAAGAGGAATGCCTGTTCTTATGTACTGTTCAGAACCATGATGGAAGAAGAACAGATGGTTTAGTGGTTAAGATAAGCACTTAAAGTGAGGCTGTTCTTATTCTAAGCTTATTCCAAACACCCAAGTTTCTTGACATTGGAAATATCACAATCGGGAAGCTTTCAAATGAATTTCTGGCACATTCTGAGGCAGTTGTATTCTCCAAAGGCTGTTTTAATTAAGACTCGGGAGATTAATTCTCACTGCTGGTGGCTGTTCTGGTACGAGCCCCCACCTTCACCAAACAGGTAAATTCATGCAGGTAATTGAGCCAAAACACTTTAATATCAAGTCTCAAGGATTTATGGCGTTTTCATCACCAAGCCTGTAGAGCTCAAGGAATCATGCTTGAAAACGCAAAAGCTAACCATCCACAAACTAAAGAAACTGAAGACACATTCACGTTATAGAAGAGTGACTGGCAACATAAAATAACATATATCTGGACTCAAATTCTAGCTTTTCTAACAATGGCTAACTTTGAACAAGTTATTTAATTATCTGAGATCCAGTTTCATGGTTTGTTTACAAATGCACGCATTCTTGCATTCATTTCTTCCAAATTAACCAAGTGCCTCCTATGTTCTGCACAGATATTAAAACATAGTCTCTGCCTCGAGGCATTCTACAGGCTTGTGAGAAGAAGTACATTGGATTGCAGTTTTCTCTTCACTTATTGTAAAGTGTTCCCATGTGCCAATTACTGTGCTAAACATTTTGCACAGTATTTGCTTATTTATTTCACACAAAGGTTCTATGGAGATATTAGTGTCTTCAACTATGAATGAGAAACTGAGAATTTGAAAAATTAAGTAATTTGCCCAGGTTAATGTTTAAAATCAGGTAGTTTTGATCCTGACACTTTTGTTCCCCATCTCTGTAGCACACTGCTTATATATGCATAACTGCTGAGGTAGGAGGTGTAGAGGGGACCATGAGAACCCTTGAGGGGCTCCTACCTCAGGCCATAACCCAGGGAGTCCTTTGTAAAATTTGAGGAAGGCTTTTATTCCCACTGTGGTTCAGGTGAAAAGAACCACATTTTTAAACTTGGTATAAAGCATGTCTAGTCTTAAACTTTTTCAGCATGTGAAGTTGCTACTGAGCAGTCTGTTGATACCGAAAAAAATGGGCGCTGTGGATCCGTGGTCTTGGTACTCAGGAATGAAAGACAATTCCGAAGAGTTCGGGTGGGAGAATTAAAGAGAAGGAGTGGGAGTTGTCCTTCCATGCTGTAATTTTCCAAGAAGAGTAAGGCCCATTAGATATTTGGAAAGTCAGACTTACCTACTAGATTTAGGAGAAAGAAGATGCAAACTAATGATGTAATCAATCTCAGAAGGAAATAAAATGGATCAATTATCAACATTCTACCTATGTATACTACCTGTGATTTGCAATAAATTGTGACAGGCTTTATCTGATGAATTCTGTTTTAGAAAGTACAGCAACACTGGGTTTTTTTCCTGGTTATTTGTCACCAGACTATATTCACAAATTTGCTGTGTAACTTAAACCACTCCTCGCCACCACTGAATTTCCATTTTCCCCTCCCACAACCTGTCAACAGTTTTAATATAGATTTGTCAAATTCACTTCCCAGTGTACAACATTGATGACTTCTTTGTGCCCAGCAATAATGTACGGAGTTCACTGATAACCTTACATTACCAGGTGTTTCTCTACTAAATGGACTACCTCTCCCTTTTACTTTTTTGAGCTGACAGTGTCACTGTATTGCCCAGGATGGAGTTCAGTGGCTATTCACAGGCATGATCACAGCACACTGAAGCCTCAAATTCCTGGGCTGAAGTGAACCTCCTGATCCTTCCACCTCAGTCTCCCAAGTAGCTAGGACTGAAGTTGCATACCACCGTGCTGGGCTGCTTTCATTTTTAATGCCATGAAATCAGTCCTTAGCTTTTCAACTTACTCTGAGTGGGTTCAAATTTTCTATTGGTAACAATGTATGCCTCTGCTTTTGAACCCAAGTACAAAAGAACCATATACTTTTTCTACTTCATTGTGGTAAGAACACTTAACATGAGATCCATTCTCTTAACAAATTTTAAGTGTACATTATTGCTTACTATAAGTACCATATCATATAGTACAATACAGATCTCTAAAGCTTATTAATCTTGCTTAACTGACACTTTATGCACATTGATTAGTAATTCCCCATTTTCCCCTGCTTCTGATCCCTAGCAACAACCACCCTTTGATTCTGTGAATTTGATTATTTTAGATACCTCAAATAAATGAATCATGTAGTATTTGTCTCTCTGTGACTGCCTTATTTCACTTAGCATAATATCATCAAGGCCCATCTATGTTGTACCATATTGTGGAATCTCCTTTTTAAAGGCTGAATAGTATTCCATTGTATGTGTATATGCCAAACTGTCTTTATCTGTTTATCTGTTAATGGACATTTAGTTTGTTTCTACAGCTTGGGTATTGTGAATAGTGCTGCAATGAACATCGGAGTGCTAACTAGTATCTCTTTGAGATCTTGATTTTACTTATTTTGGATACATACCTATAATTCAATTTCTGGATCATATGGTAGTTCCATTTTTAATTTTTTGAATTACCTCCGTACTGGTTTTCATAGTGGCTACACCATTTTGCATTCCCACCAACACCTTACCAAGAATCCAGACAACAAAAACAAAAGTAAGGAAGTGGGACTACATCAAACTAAAAACCTTCTGCACAGCAAAGGAAATAATCAATGACGTGAAAAGGCGACCTATGGATTGGAAGAAAATATTTGTAAACCATATACCTGATAAGGGGATAATATCCAAAATATATAAGAAACTAATACAAATAACTCAAAAAAATAAACTAATATTACAAATAAGCTAGGTATCTGAAGAGACATTTCTCCAAATAGGACATAAAAATGACATATATATAATCTTTAATTACCAGAGAAATGCAAATCAAAATCACAATGAGCCGGGGACAGTTGCTCACATCTATAATCCCAGCACTTTGAGAGGCCAAAATGGGTGGATCACCTGAGGTCAGGAGTTTGAGACCAGCCTGGGGAAAATGGTGAAGTCCTGTCTCTACTAAAAATACAAAAATTAGCCAGTGTGGTGGCACATGCCAGTAGTCCCAGCTATTCGGAGCTACTTGTGAGGCTGAGCCAGGAGATCACTTGAACCCAGGAGGCAGAGGTTACAGTGAGCTGAGACTGTGCCACTGCACTCCTGCCTGGGTGACAGAGTGAGACTCCATCTCAAAACACACACACACACACACACACACACACAATGAGATATCACCTCACACCTCTCAAAATAACTATTATAAAAAAACAGAAGATAAGGGTTGGTGAGGATGTGGAGAAACTATAACTACATTATTTTAATAAAGTATCTTGCCATTTTGCCTTGTCATTTGCATATGACACACACACACACACACACACACACACACACACACACACACACAAAAGATACTTCTAAAAGGAACAAAGTACCAAAGGAAGAGTGGCACTTGGCTGGGGCAGCTGAAGTTAGAAAAGAAACCATAAGTGGAAAAATGTTTAATAGAGGATAATTTAACAGTCATTGGAAAAGTGACTATTGGGACTTAGGGACATTTTGAGTTGCCAAGCATTGGAGATGGCACATAGTTTGCAATATCAATTTCTTATTCCTTTCAGGTGTCAGGATTTGTTGTATGATGGAGCAATCATTACGGATTCTCGAGCATCATACATTTAAGAGTTTTAGGATCAAACTGGAATGGAAGAATGAGATAAGGGATTTGGGGGCCACTTATCTACTACTGTAATCAAGCACGGTGGATAGGAGAACAATGTTGACATGGCCAGAATAAGCAGCCATTCTGTAGTCAAAAGAACATTAAGTCAGATTCAGGAAGCATGGTTCCAGTCTTGGTTCTGAGACTAAGAAAAGGGGAAGCGGCTGGGCGCAGTGGCTCACGCCTGTAATCCCAGCACTTTGGGAGGCCGGGGCAGGCGGATCACGAGGTCAGGAGATCGAGACCATCCTGGCTAACACGGTGAAACCCCATCTCTACTAAAAATACAAAAATTAGCCCGGCGTGGTGGCGGGCGCCTGTAGTCCCAGCTACTTGCGAGGGTGAGGCTGGAGAATGGCGTGAAGCCGGGAGGTGCAGCTTGCAGTGAGCCAAGTGTGCCACTGCACTCCAGCCTGTGTGACAGAGCGAGACTCTGTCTCAAAAAAAAAAAAAAAAAAAAGGAAAGGGGCAGCAATATATATAACCGAAACATTTATTTAAAATATACAAACTACTTGTTTACATATACTGCTTCATTTTATCTTAAAATTTGCCTAGAGAAAAATGCAATTAACCCCATTTTGTATACAAGAAAATTGAGACTCTGCAAGTTAACTCTTGCCCAAGTTAACACACATGATGAACTAATGGAGGCAAGTGGTGAACCAAGAACCTCAGGATTCCAAGCTATAGCCTTGTCCACTCTCCCATCCCAGCTCTGAACTAGCTACGCTCTGAACTAGCTAGGGAAGTCATTCAGCCATTCCACTTGTATGAGCCTCCACTCATTTGTCTGTAAAGTGAGATAGATTGTCTAGATCAGTGATTTCCAAAGACATGTGTTTGTGTACATGCCTGTGTGTGTCCTTCTAGACAGAAAAATCTAGAAAAGTCTCTCTGTTTGTGTGAGAAAGGCAGAACCTTCATGAACACAGATTCTTACACATACCATTGATATATGCAATATATTCTGGCAGAGCTGTTCTGATTAACGCACCAGTGAAGATCCTGGTGTCTCACTACTTCCATCCTCACTCTCGCCCTGGAGAGATGCGAAGGAACACTTACAATTAACTTTACAGAGAACAGATTGAAAACCTCTATGTGCAACATTCTGCGTGATCCTAAAAAGAAGTGTGTGTGTGTGTGTGTGTGTGTGTGTGTGTGTAGGTGAGGGGTGGCAAACACACTGTCCTGATCTTTTTCTGTTTATTCTTCTCAAAAGACTTTTTGGCCACATGGGGATTTATTCAAAGGACAATTATGAAGCATCTCTTATGAGCTGGTTCTGAGAAGCCATTCCCACTCCATTGGACTCACCTCCATTCTCCATCACTTGATATTGGTGGCTGCTTCTCTTTCTAGGAGTAAGATCCCTAAAGATGGGTTTATACAAGCCTACTGATCCGGGTTCTAATCCTCCTCCAACACTAACAAATTGAGATCTTGAGAACCATGTTAACTCTCTGGGCGTGGTTCTTCATGTGTAAAAGGAGGGGGATTCCTAAGACTTCTGGCTCACATATCCTATGATGTTATCCCTATTTTATGACTTCAAAAAAAAAAAAAACCAAATCAATTAGATACTTTTTTTTTAATGCCCACAGTGCTGCATCCTATGGGTTGACAGTTGCTTGCCATGGATGAAGCTGCTTTTTAATAACTACTTACTTGGTGCTCATTTTAAACTTTTAAAAAATGTCCCCTTCAGGGCATGAACACATTTTTATATCTACCGATTTAAATGTGAGGTAGGAAAAAGGCTTAAACTCATAATTTTCCATCCTACTTTTGTTCGTTGGACTTTCAGTCTGGGTGTGAAGTCCGTAAAATAAGAGCTATGTTTGAGAGTTTTGTTCTGTGAACAGAAAGTATAGGCTGGGGCATGGGAAAGGAAGAGAGGAAAAGTCAACATGTACCATTTTATAGAAGCCAGGAGTGGGCTCTCTGAAGGAAATCAACATCTTCTTTGAGTCTGCTGCTCTTTTTTGCTCACCTTTCATCCTCTCCTTTTTTTTTTTTTTTTTTTTTTTTTTTTTTTTTTTTGAGATGGAGTCTCTGTTCGCCCAGGCTGGAGTCCAGTGGCGCGATCTCGGCTCACTGCAAGCTCTGCCTCCCGGGTTCACACCATTCTCCTGCCTCAGCCTCCCGAGTAGCTGGGACTACAGGCGCCCGCCACCATGCCCGGCTAATTTTTTTTTGTATTTTTAGTAGAGATGGGGTTTCACCGTGTTAGCCAGGATGGTCTCGATCTCCTGACCTCGTGATCCGCCTGCCTCGGCCTCCCAAAGTGCTGGGATTACAGGCGTGAGCCACCGCGCCCGGCCTCAAAATACATAAACTGCACAAAGGGTGTAAAGTATTCTCTAGTGTAATAGACACAATGCCAAGAAAGCAAATTAAGGAAGTTTTAGCCCAGATGCATTTTTAAGCGTTTGCTTAACAGATAAAAAATACTTAAGAGGTTGAAACTAAAGAATACAGATATAATTTGGTGACATGGTAACAGTATATGACACTTTGAATAAGTAATAGAAATTCCAAAATCAGAATGACATTTCTAGAAATACTAGCTAAGAAAAGACAAAAGTAATTGTATTTAGTTCCTTATCAAATATTTATTGAGCACTTACACTATACCAGGAACTGTTTTAACCAGTCAAAAATTAATTGCAAATGTAGCTATAATAATCAAAAATTAGAACTATTCTAAATGTCCAAAATTGGGAGATAAATTTAATGTGGCTTATCAATTCATTAAAATAATATGAAGCCACTTAGATTTAAAATATGTAAGAATAAGAAAACTACTGAAAATATTGAGACTATCATTTTAAGTAGAAAAACAGACCGTAAAACAATTTGCATGCTAGTATCTCAACAGTATTCACATAGAGATTTGAAAGAAATATAAAAATGTGAAACTTACAGTTTTTATTAAAGTGGTGATACTGTAGGTCATTCTTCTGAGGATGGTATTTAATGTTGACACTATAGTACATTTGTTTAATGATAAAAAGTGCCAAGTTCCCTAATGACAGGTTTGAAAGTGACAGCATTTAACTATATGAGAGTCTTCTTAAGGTTCATGGTGATTCCAGTCCCACAATGCTGCTGCCTGAGGTCTGACCCTTTATGCATACAAACTATATAGAGAAGATTGTATAACCCTTTGGAAATTGCTGATACTTTCACAGCTCTAATTCTTCCTCCAGGGGAATATTTTAAAGTGGCTTCTTTGCTGATTTAATAAATTTTCATTTCAAACTTTTCCCCTCAGTCTCTTTCTAATGAACTTTCTTAAAAAAAAAAACTTTCCTGAAATTCCATGCTGTAGTACTACCTGTGGGTCTGATTCCACATGTGAGTATGTCAAATTTAATTAGATTGTGCTCTCTGCTGCTTAATGACTCAACTAGGCTTACAAGTTCAAGATCATAACCTCCCTACTAGGCTGCCAGGTTAGCTGTTTCAAGGAACAACTATTCATGTTATCCAGCTATAATTATTTTACTCCATGCCCAGAAAATAATAAAAATAGTAATGCTCACTTAATTAGACCCTTCACCCAAGAATCCTCAAGCATTTTACAAGATTTCTTTACTCAGTCATTTGCATAACACATCCAAGAAACAGGTGAACAATATTAAAAATCATGCTTCTAAGGACTTCTTTTTAAAAAATGCATAGACTCATCCTTGGTTGCTGCCTTTCCTTTTAGAATAACTGTTCAACTCACTGGCAGATTGCAATGGAATCTGATAGAAGGATACAGAACTCAGAACTAGGTAATGCAACTCAGATTGGAACAGGGATATATTTTTCTGGGTCTAAAAATGTTTCCTTTTTTTCTGCATATCTTCACAACGTGTTCACGTTCTAGTTCATAATTTATCGTTTTGGTCTATAAAGTGCCTATAAACATGTAACTATGAAATAACACATGACAAAAATTTAGACACCTGAGAGAAAGGCTTGTCAAGCTTATACCAGTCAAAAGGTACAATGGAATAGGCAATCTTAAATCCCTGCATGGAAGCCGTAGTTCTTGAGCTTATTCAGCTTGAAGCAACACTTGTGAGGTCATGTTACTCTGTGATAGTGCTACCAGCCCTCGAATGATCTTCCAAATGACTCTCTATTTTGGTCACCACTATATGACCAGCACCTAGAACAGTAAGCCTTGCCTATAGCAAGTACTTAGTTTTAATACATATTTTTAAAATAATGAATCTACATATTTTGATTTATTGATCAGAGACAGATTTTCTCAGATTATAACTGATTTTGTCTCATAAAATAAGGAATTTGACAAGAATGTCAGCAAACCAGCTGTAAAGCAGATATGAAGGGACATTTGAGGGAAATTTGAATATGGACAATGTGTAGATTCACTAGTGGCCCCCACAAAAGATATGTGCAAGTACTAACTCCCAGTACCCATAAAAGTGACTTTATTTGGATGTAAGTTCTTTGCAGAGGTAGTTAAGAATCTTGAGACGAGATCATCTTGGTTTTAGGGTGGTTCCTAAATTTAATGACTGGTATTTTTATAAGAGAAGACACAAAGAGACATAGCAGAGGACATTTTAAACCGAGGTTGAGATTGGAGGTATACTGCCGCAAGCCAAGGGATTCTGGGAGCTACCAGAAGTCGCAAGAGGAAAAGGAAGGATTATCCTCTAGAGCCGTCAGAGGGAGCACATCATTGCCACACCTTGACTGTGGACTTCAGCCTCCCAAACTATTGTTTTAAACCACCCAGTATGTGGTAATTTGTTATAGCAGCACCAGGAAACTAATACAACCCTTCTAGTAAACGTTATTACAAATAACAAAATTATTGCTATTTGTGTTAGATGTGACATGGTATTGAGGCTATGTAGAAAAATATACTTTGTTGACATTCAAAATTTGACTCCTTTGGGTTAAATATAATGTCTTTAATTGACTAAAATGCATCATCAAATATCGATTACATGGCAAAATAATAGCAGTTGTTAAGCCTAGGAATTGAATATTTGGGTATTTAGTATATTATTGTTTTTTTTTTTTCTGTGCAATTAAAAGTATTTAAATCGTGAGCAAAAAGTGTTCCCCTAAGCACTCTTATATTATGATGTTTGGTTCTTTAACTAAAATAACAATCAGTTTTGCAAATAAATAAACAATCTTACAAATCATCTTCCAACATCTAAAAGAAAAGCTTTAAACCTCATAGTTTTCACCTCTACACCTTGTATTGGCTCTTTTTGCAACTTATGTTCTGTGCATCTTTCTGTCTGCTTTTCAAAATCAAATTGAAAGCTTTTCATGGTACCTCCTCAAATCTTCCTTTTCCTCAGGTTAAAATTAGTGATGTAACTAATGAACAATCAATAAGTTTCTCCCAAATTCTATTTCTAATTCTCCCCTGCTGAAACTTGGTAAGCTGCTATACAAAACGGTAACCATGATTTCCTTACCCCCCAACCCTCAAAACACCTCTTCTCCTGACCTTTAGGTCCTGGGCTGTGCCATTCTCATGCTTTATAGTCAAGTTCTTTCCTCAGATAATAGTCTCCTCAGCTTCTGAAAATAGCTGATTATCTATTCCAGGGAGAGCAAGATCAAAGTTTGATAAATTGCCATTTATTTCACTTCTACTAGAAAGTGATCCCAACAAATAAAATTTTCTTTCTGACACCCCTTGGTTCCTTCTCATCTCATTGCTGATCTTTGCTAGAGGGATAAAGCCATCTGTTTGCTCTGTTTTATCACCAGAAGCTGTTCTCTGTCAGCGACACCATCCTCTGGCTTACAGACTTAACTGTTGATCACTGAAATAGCACTCAAGGCCCCAGGAATATGGACAATCCACTTCTCTGGAATCAGTGTCATTTAACATTGGTTGTTCATCTTTTTAAGGCCCACATTCTTGCAGAATTACATATTAGGTAGTTGAACCCCTTCAAGGGTTATTGTTCTCTCTTTGTTGTATGTGTAATGGACATGTCACAGATAGGCTTCACTTTGTGTGTGTCGTGTAGACACGTCACAGTTAGGCTTCATAAAGTGCATGGCTGCATATGATAACAGGAAGTCTACCTCTTCCAACCTGTCCTGCAGTGGATCGTGAGGAACTGGGCTCCGTGAGTTTTCTCTCACCCAAGCTCCTCACACGCCACCACTGAGTTGCCTTTTGTAGCCCTTCCTTCTCCCTCCACTTTGTAACAAGGTGAAAGCTGGGAATTTTTTTTCAGAAATACATAACCAACATTTTATTCTGATTTTGTCTGTCCCTGACATCCAAGGAATTGAAGGTGTTTTTTTTTCCTGAAAGTGGCCTTTGGTTTTGCCACTGTGCTTCAGGTTCCTCTAAAATCAAGTCCCCTTTATAGTGATGCATCTATATTATCACATAGTCACTTTTTTAGGATTCATAAAATGACTCTGCTACCATTACTAACATTTTCAAGGAAAATCTACCCATATGCTTGTAAACTACACCTACATAGCTTCCCTTGTACTGTACTACACTCAAGTAGAGCCTACTCATCTTTCTAGTCTCAATTTAGTCACTCTTTCAAATTGTCTTATCTGACCATTTAATCTCAGAAATATCTCCCAGCTAAAGTCCCATCATAGCACTAATTATAATATATATTTATATAGTATTTGTGGGTTAAGTTTTACTTCCTTCTCTTGGCTTCCAGCCATTTTCCATATCCACTTTCTTCATTACTATAAACTTAGCACAATACCAAATACGAATCAGACAGTAAACTAATATTTGTTAAATCAATGAGTATAGCTTACATCCAAAGTCCAGCTTTAATCTGCTTAACTGATGTTGAACATATGTTTTTCAGTCAACCTATTTTTTCTCTCAGAATAAAATGTCTCCTTTTCTTACCCTTCTCCATTTTTTTTTATCTCTCCTCTTATTTTTCCTATTATCATCTTGCTCCGTAGTTCCTTTTTTTTCCCTCCCCTGCCAATGTATGGATGACTTTTTGGGTGACTGCTCACATATGGAAGAGATATTCCTATTTGGAGTTTATTAAATAATAAACAGAAGAATGGAAATAATTGATTCACATTTTAAATGGTCATAACTTTTAACTACATGATTTTGCCTAGTGACACAATAACTGATTTTAAACATAGAAATTCAGTCAGACTGATATTGGTCTAAAGGAGACTGAAGATAAAACATTCTACACTTGTCTAATTAATATTAACCATATACAGGGCCGTAACTATTTAAATGCATTGCTATATGCTTGTAAATAGTGACCACAGTCTGAGTATTACTTTTTAAAGGTAGCCTAAGCCTGGCCCGAAACAGAAGATGTGAAATTATTAGTAGACTTTGCCTTCTAATGGGAGAGAGGAAGGACATCATTCCTGTTGATTTCTTTAAACCTTTAAAAATTGTCCTTATGTGGTCCACAATTTTTCTAATATTCATCAAAACTCTTCTTGTAGAGATTGCAATGTATTAGAAAAGATACTCTTCATAAAGTTTTCTACAATAGTACTTATTGATAAATCAATATTGCTAAGACTAAACATATATTAATTGTTCTTAAAGGATATGCCAAAGTAGAAATAACATCCCTAAATTTAGAATGTACAATGTTATCATTACTATCACTAGAATAATCACAACTCAGCCTCTGAAATCTGACAGACTTAGGTTTGAGTTCAGGTTTCACCCCTACTAATGCCCAATCATGTCAACCTTAGACAAAATCACTAAATTCTCTGGATATCAATTTCCTCATATGTAAAATGAGGGTATACGTAACATAGTGTATACCTGATATGATGATTAAATGAACCTAGAAATTGATTAGTCCAATATAGTGGTAAATATATGGAGTAAGTACACAATAAATGACAGCTGTAACTATTACTATGATTCTTACCAGTATTGCTGTGTTGTTATTGTGGTAGAAGCGGAGATCACTTTGTTATTAAATGTAAAAACAATTTAGCAAAATAAGAGAGGCCAATTCTAAGTGTTATCATTTGGAAAAATGTCAAGTAAATCAAATGTGGGTACTATAAGAAAACTAGCCCGGGCTCTCAAAGGGAGATTAGCATTAATCCCCTCTGTACTCATTGAGAAACCTGGAGGCATTAGGGAAAGCAGGTGGTATATTCAATATCTCATCCAGTATTTCCTACAGGCTCTTTCAAATGATAACTTCAGGAACCACTTGGAAAATATCAGTTCTATCACATTTCTCTAGGGATCAGTGAACTCATTTGGATTAAACAAGTAGTAAAAACACTTGACAAGTTCAAATCCAAATAAATGTCACATTTCTCAAAAATTGGAACAAAGTCAGCAATTAATTTTCTTTATTTTTTGAAGTATGGTTTGTAAGCTTTTTCATGGGAATTTTACAAAAGAAAAGACAACATAACTTATCTTGAAAGTGTTTCTTTTGGGAGAAGTATAGTGTTATTCTATGAAATTCAGATATTCAGAGAAAAACAAACAAAAATACTTGCCTCTCCTTTCTCTTACATCCTTTGAACATGATTTATTTACTTAAGAAAAAAGAGGAAATCTAGAAGTCATAATATATTCTCAGAGTCTAAGTAAAATCTAAACCATGAAGCTAAAATTGTTTGGAAATCCCTGCTTTTTAAAAATGTTGATAGGCTAGAGATGAATTTGCTAGTGGATATCATTAAGTTGAATTCTTGAAGATGAATAGATACAGGCAATTGCCAACATACAAAGCACACATTCCAAAATTTCATTTTTAATTCAGTCGTTCGGAACTGGAAACACAGTTTTCCCACAGGAACACTTATAATTTGTGTTTAAGTTCACAGATAAGACCACAAATGCTACTTTTACATGAAATCACTATGAAATAACTTAGATTTACAGAAGAAAATCAATTAATATACACTTTCAAAAATAAAAATAGAACTCTAAAATAAAATTTAAAAGTACCATTTGTATTTGTATTTCACATATTTAAAAAAGATGACAAAACTCAAAGAAGATCAGAGATATGGTATCTTTGGTAGAGTTTCCAAAGATTTAAGGGTATTTTCAAGGTCTTCAGGAGTCATTAGGCCAGATTTTCTTTTTCCCTAAATAATTTCAGATTGTACAGGGGGCACAGTTATCTTTTCAGGAGCATAGCAGTTATTGACTAAAAAATGTAATGGAAAGAAAGAGAGGGTAACTGAATTATAAGGAGATGGGGTGGTGGGTGGAAGATTATACATTTGGCATTTACAAATATTTGGGAACAAAGAAGAATGACTGAAAAATGATTACTGTGCTGTAAGCAGAGAAAGAGGCACAGAAAAATCCTTTGGCAGAAGAATAAGAAAGTGTTGAGGCAGAAACAGGGGTCCACTTGTTTTATGAGCTGTCTCTAAAGTGGCAGGAATATTTCCTCATGACATTTTGATTGCCAAAGAATACACACAAGTTGCAAGAACACAGATACTTGGGCTGTAGAATGCACTTATTGAGTCTTTCACACTTGTGGGTAGAATACTTTTTTTTTTTGTCTTTGATAGATTAGTACAGAAATTTTCTGATCTCAGAAATACTCAACGTTGGGCAGTCCTTCCTAGTTAGGGCTTCAGTATTGAGTTTTAGCTTTTTAGCACATGAGATTGCTTCTAAATTAGTACAGCAAAAAGTGAATGGATGGTAAAAAGAAGGATGTTTGACATTATACTTATACCTATCATACTGCTATGCTATTGTAGCTGTTTTCATATATTTCAAAATTCGATTTCTTGGTTCCCATATGACAGTAGACTCAGCAAGAAGTCCAGAGAGACTCTCTGTGAATAACCTTTTTCCTGTAATGCAATAGTGCTGTCTCTAGTCCATAGGCTATGTCACCTTCAATTAAACAGTGGCTCAATCAGTGTGAAGACAGCTTTCATAATGTTACCATAGAAAGGTCTCTCCTTTGTGACTAAGCCTTTTCCAGTTGTTGAAATGTTCACCAATTGCTGCCTCAGCTCCTTGGAACCCACTCGGCTTTTGTGCGCTGATGCATTTACAGTACTAGTAATTAATGCCGTTAGCTTTGTAATTAAAAAAAAACTTTTTGCCTTTATACTCAGGGTGATAATGCTGCAAGTAAAAATTAATTAAAATGAGATGAATTGCCTTCAGTTAAACGAAATGGAAAGAGAAAAGGAGGGGTAAAGGAAGGAGGAACCTGAGGAAGAGTTTGTAGTCTTATTAATGAAGCAAACTGAGGAGGTTGGGCTTTAAATTTTCTCCTGACTCTTTTTCCTTTGTGTTAGACCCTGGATTAATGGAGCCAAAAACCTTCAGCTGGTGAGAGAACACAAAGAAGCTATACTTTCTCTGATTTGTCTATGGGTCACTATAAAGACCACAAACATGAACGCCCATGTTTGTTTAAGCACCCCCTTCAATTTTCTAGTACCAGGCTGCTTGAAGTAATGGGCTGCGAAATTGGCTTTTGTACTATTATTAATTAGATCTGATGCCTGATTTTCTTTTAACATTTGATGCAGTGAAAGGTTCTGGTTCTTTACATAGGACACAGTTCTCACATATTCAATCATTGATGATAAGAGCTTGGGTGTGAAAATCTGACTGTTCTCCATGCTGAAGCAAAGGCCCAGTGAGAGCCAGGTTCTTCATCTTCTGTTGTCCTGATTTTTCCGAATTTTGCTTCCAATTTCTATTTGAGGGACACAACTTCTTTTAAATTAGCACAATGGCTAGGGATCTAAATTTTATAAAGGAGCAGCAATTAGTTAATCAATAAACATGTGCTTAATGGGATCCTAGTGTATATCTTAGGACTATGTCAAGGTGCTTCAGTGGGCACGGTAACAGTGAAAAACGTAACCCTTGTCTTCAAAGAATTGATACACTCACCAGAAAAACAAAAGCTAAGCTGCATAAATCACAGAGAAGTGGGCAATTAAGGGCTAAAGGCTCTGGCACTTGGAGTAAAATAAGAGTTCTGTTAAAGAGAGGGGACACTGTGGGCTGAGGAAATGAGTAATGACTTCACGGAGAGAATGAACCCAAGTAAGAAAAAAGGACACAGTTAAGGAGAAAAGAATTTCCTCGGCAGCTCAGAACTTAGAACCTTTATATATCTCAGTCACCCATCAATGGGGGAAAATACTGTCAGCAGGTAAATAATTGTGAAATTTTCTAGCTCTCTTTATTGCACTTTAACAATATCTGGTAGATCTCTTAACTTCTGTTTGGTGTTCCACAGATTGTCACACCTTGAAAATTCCACCTTCTTAAGTCTTGTATCCCTGATATGCCTCTGTTGTATTTTCAACCAGAAACGTATTTCTACAACTTATAAATGGGAATAATTACATGCACCATCTTTCAAAGTCAGGGCTCTAGTCTTGGTGCATGAAATAAGCAAATTTGGAGAAATACACATTAAATCAATAGCTCTCTGCATGGGTTTTAATGGTAGTACAAGAAGAGAGGCTGGAGAGCCTCCAAACAATCTTTGGGAGTACTAAAATGAGTCCTCCAAATTCTACAGCCATCCTATGTTTAGGGCCATTTCACTAGCATCACCAGGTAACAGCTTTCCAGGAAAACGATAGTAAGTGTGATCGTATGACTTACTTCTCCTTCTGTTCTCAATCCCACGGATTATAAAATTAGATTTCCTTAGATTTAAAGATTTAAAGTTGATATTCTCTTAGTAAAACCATCTGTATTTGTACAAGAGAAATTTGTAAAAGTCCCATCAACCTAAGATGTTTAGAGAAAAATGTTCACTTGGTCCATTCAGTATCGAGATAGAAAGCCTGCTGACTGTTCAGCCCTGTAGAACCTACCTGGTTGCTTTATAAAGGTTTTGGCTTGGCTGTGTAGCATTTGCAATTTCCAAGTGTGGAAAATCAATCCTACCTCCAGCTAGTTCAGCCTGAGAAAGAGACAATTTAAGGAGCATTTTCTTTTTCTTTTAATTTTCTTTTCTTTCTTTCTTTCTTTTTTTTTTTTTTTTTCCAGCAGGTAGATTTGCTGCCAGAGGCAAGGAAGGTCCTAGTCTCAGATGAGCATAGGTCTTAAACACAGAGGAAGTAGAACTATTAGGTTAAATGAACCTAGCTGGGTTTTGATGGATGTCAGATGGGGTTCTGAGCAGCTGATGAACTACTCAAACTGGAGAAAGGCCCCTACCAGTTGCAAGAATTCTTTGGCCATTTTAGTAAGAAATTAGCAAGCCAGGGAAATTTATTTAATACCCCCCAACCCCAACCAGCCTTTCTCATATTTGTCAATTTTCTGTCAAGTTTTGTGGTATTGACTAAGCTAAAATACACAGTTGATTCTTTTCTCGCTGCCTTTAATTATTCTTTAGAATCTTGTATTATAGAAAAGGAAACTGCCATTTAGAACATCTGAGAGCTTGCAAGAAAAAATGTGCAGGCACATTTCAATTAAGAAATGATGGCACTTTGGGAGGCCAAGACGGGTGGATCACAAGGTCAGGAGATCGAGACCATCCTGGCTAACACAGTGCAACCCCGTCTCTACTAAAAATTCAAAAAATTAGCCGGGCATGGTGGTTGGCGCCTGTAGTCCCAGCTACTCGGGAGGCTGAGGCAGGAGAATGGCGTGAACCCAGGAGGTGGAGCTTACAGTGAGCTGAGATCGTGCCACTGCACTCCAGCCTGGGCGACAGAGCGAGACTCTGTCTCAAAAAAAAAAAAAAAAAAAAAAGATGGACTAGGTAATACTTATATATAATATTTCTTTGTGTTTGGGACATTCAATTCCACTCTTCCAGTTATTTTGAAATACACATTAAATTACTGTAAATTATAGTCACCACACCAAACACTAGCTCTTATTCCTTCCATCTAACTATATTTCTGCACCTATTAACCAACCGCTCTTTATCCCCCTCTCCCTACTTCCCTTTCCAGCCTCTGATAATCATCAAGCTACTCTTTATTCCCATGAGATTATATTTTTTTTTTAGCTCCCCTCTCCCCGCCACCAAAAAAAGAAAAGATGGCCTTGAAGTAATGAAGCAGTATAGGAGAAAATGGGCCAAAATAGAAATGACAGTAAATTACCAGTTTAAGGGGAATTATTGATATCCTGTGACCTCCAGTGTATGAATTCCACACTGCAGTTCAATTTTTAACAGTCACATGGTTTATCTGATTCTCCCCTCCTCCTTCCAGAAGGCATAACAACATGCTCTATGATCTGCAGAAAATTCTCCTGCTGATTGGTTTGTAGACTCTCCACTTGAAGTGCTGGACTTAAAATCTGGTTCAAGCAAAAAACTTCTGACTAGCAGCTGGAACTTGCTCAGCTACTGGCTCAAATATTTTTAAGACGTGGCTTTCAGAAACAAATACAGTGATATCAAGGATCACGGAGTGGGCTGCACAGGACACAGCCTTTCTCTATGCATACTCTTCCTGTGATAGTTCAGTCTTTTTCTGTTGTATATGTTGAATAGGGGCTTTTCTTAGCTGTTTACAGGTCTGATCACAGATCCCATGGATTGGAGAACACAAGCTCATTCATTTTTCATTTTAACTTCTCTTGGGATATGAATGTTAGGAGAAAGAAGAAAGAATGAAAGGGCGTTCACGGGGAATAATTCATGAAATGACCAAATGCTGCCTGATTGATAAGAAGGTAGAACTTAGTAACAGAAGCACATGGTGAAGGACACTGTAGCCAGCTTAGAGATTTCATTCATTCATTCATCTATTTATGAAATATATAGATATATTTATCATATATCTATGAAATAAATTAATCTACTTATTTATTAAAATAAATCCTGTTACCACCAAAAGAAAATTACTCTTGTTTAAAATTCAACAATAAAATTAACATCAAAGCTGACCACATTAGTACTGACAGAGTAGTTTCAATAGAAAACTTAAAAAAAATTAAACTACAGGTTTTAATGGAAAGATAACTAAAACAAGCCCTCTAAAAAATGAAATGCATCTTTTCTTCTCTATTTGAATATTTAATTCTCTGCTTTTGAATTGAGGCCCTGAGTACCTAGATTTCTTGATGTTGCTAATTGAAACAGCTAATTTTTACAGATTTTTTTTCTATTACTTAAATTCTGAAGTGGAATGTACCTCCCAAAATTATATTTCATGGCACATGTGCATTCTTTGGAAAATAAGTTTGGAACACTCAAATAATAATATGCTTTCTTCAAAATTGATAGCTCATATAAAGATACTAAAGGCACTGAGAAGTCCTATAAGAAAGACTTTAAATCAGTATCTACCAGTTTGACAATGAACTTTTTTTATGTAGCATTATATTTCCACAGAAAAAATATTCTAAAAGACATAATTTGGAACATGCCATTATAGTATAGAAAATAGACTGAGACTCAAGTAAGTCAACATTCAAATCCTTGTTTTCCTGCTAAAGTGTGTTTTTATTAACTTTATTATTTATTTATTATTATAAATAATAAACAGCTCACTGCAACTTTGAATACCTGGGCTCAAGTGATCGTCACACCTCAGCCTCCCAGGTAGTTAGGACTACAGGCACATGATACTATGCCCAGCTAATTTTTAAAATATTTTGTAGAGACAGGAGCTCACTATGTTGCATAGACTGGTCTTGAACTGCTGGGCTCAAGTGATCTTCCCACCTAGGTCTCCCAAGTTGCTGGAATTATAGGCATGAGCCACCACACCCAGGCTTTATTAACTTTAAGAATTACGCATCCTCATGCATGAGTGCACAAAAGGGAGAAATGGAAGGAGAAAGGGAAGGAGAGAGGAAGAGAGAAAGAGATAGAGATAGAGATACGATGCTCTAAGTGTTAAATAATTGAATCTCCAAAACTGTTTTATCAGTGAAAGTATTACTTCATATCAATAAAGGAAAAGGAAATGACATTCCAATAAATACCATTGTCATTCAATTTTTCAGGCACTTTATATGTTATTTCATGAAACTACCAGAATAATTATTGCAAAAAGCATATTTTTCTCTGAAGCAATCTAAGTAAGTTCAAAATATGGTCTTACTATATAGAAAAAATTAGCATAGTTCTACAATTCCTGTAACTTCTATATTCTGTTCTTACTTTTGAAATAAATAAAGAACTGAAGAATAAATCCCACTGCATATTTTAACCCAGATACTGTGATGGAATTTAGACTAAGAAAGATGCTCTAATTTCTAGCGTTATGATCTCACTTCTAAACACTAGTCTTTCACATGTTTGTCAACATATGTGAAAATACCAGCAGGGACATTACAGGTGCGGAATAAATTTATTTGGTGCCTTTTATTATTAAAACTGATTGTACATCTTTACACTGCTTGTGTTTTTTTCACTTTATATTGACTATAATCAAATAATGAATGATGAGACACAATGGAGCCTGATTCATTGGTAACTAGGAAAAAAACCCAACTTTGTAGTGAATCCATTTTTTTCATTTTATCTCCAAAATATATGTTCATTATTCTAAAATCATGATTTGCTTAGAATTTGATGTTTTTAAAATATTGTTAATCTATTATTTTTAATGGGCTATGCATTTCCATAAAACTCAAAAAATAAAAATAATCCAAGTCATACTTGTCAGAAGATTAGGCAAATGATTCATTTCTAGGCCAGTAATGTGTAGTATAGAGAGGTTCAACTATAAGGTTTCCAATTTGTTTTAAGGTTCATGTTAAAATAAAAGAATACCAAATGTAAAAAGAAACAATGAAGAAAATTATTCTCAATGCTCCATACCCCTTCATCTGACCTTCATCTTGATTTTCACTCACTATTGGTGCCCACTTTGATTTCACTTCTGAAATACTAAACCACATAACATTGAACCATGGCTTCTTTATAGCCCCAGGCTATAAAATTAGGTAAAATAACAAGTATCCTAACCAAGATCATAAGAAGACAGCAAATGAGATTTACAATTGAGCCAATTATTGTACACTGCATAATGCTTAGTTAACACCTTTGGGCCCACAAGTTGCCTTTAGTGTTATAGTATTTGGAAAAGGTCCATTGTTTAAAGTTCTTTACCTCAAGATATTTGAATAAACCACAATGTATGAATTCAAGAAATATTCAGACATATTCCTTTAAGATAGACTTTAAACATTAGTCTGCCTATATGGGCCTTAGATTCTTTATCTGTAAAACAAAATAACTATACTAGATGACTTATAAGGTCATTCCCTACTCCAAAAATGCAATGTCTTTACAACATAAGCCATATATATATATGCATATATATACATATATACACATACATAGGTATATTTATATTAGACATAATGTTTGAAATAAATCATTTCAAAGTTTGTAAGGTAAAATTGAAGACACTAAGATGACTTTCTGATCATGACATCAAAAATATGCCTATATGATTATAATTCAGTTGGAATATAAGGCCATGTCCTATCTTAACATGTAATAAAATCCACTTTCTACTCTCTACAGTCTTCCGCACAAAAGCTCAAACAAAACGACGAATGCCATTCTCACATCAGTATTAGTAACAATACATGTAAACCCTATAAGTACTGTGTTCCTTTTATTGTAATATGTGCAACTCTTTGTTCAGTGTGCTTGTAAGTAAGTAAAACATTCAATTCAGCAGCAATTTTGTAAATATATCCTTTTTTCTTCCTTTCTTGGTTTAACCTCTGTGGTTATGGTGGCAATGCTAATGATTGTTGATAAGTGAAAAAATCAGGAGACAAAAAATGAGCATGAAGCTTTAGCAATACATTCAAGGTAAGAAGTATGAAATGGAACACCAGGCACAGGGCCAAATACTTAAGCTTCATGCATATCTGCTTACACAATAATACAGAGATACTGTTATTACAAGGTATCTAGTTCCATCCCTTTTATTCATTTTCACCACAATTCATTTAATACTTTTACTAGCACTTGAGTCCTCGCCATAAACCTTAGAGATGTTGTTAGCCTTTGTATATGAAGAAGTTGAAGTTTGGAGAGGATGATAAGTGAGCAGAGGTCGCACATCTTATTGACCAGGACTCAAACACACGCCATTCAACTCTGAAGTTCATGCTCTTAATTACTGCATAATTCAACAACACATTAACTAAGTTCTCATGCATATTTTAGAATTGATGAGGGAATAGTTTGGAGGGCAGACATCCAAGGGCCAGTACAAATAAATCTCTTGAGCAGAATTTTCAGCCTTGGCACTATTGACATTTTGGAATGAATAATTCTTTATTGCGAAGGACAGTCCTATGTATTGTAGGATGTTCAACAGCATCCCTGACTTCTACTCACTAGATAAATGTAGCATCCATCCCTTCCTCCACCCAGTTGTGGTAACCAAAAATGTCTCAAGATATTGCCAAATATTTCCTGGGGGGCAAAATAACTCCATAGTGAGAACTTCCATTCTAAAGGAATGATGTATTTACTATGAACACCTGAGTAATCAATCCTCATAGGATCCCCGTATTTATCACCAGGCCTTCTGGGGCTTTTACCTTTTTAATTGTCTCCTACGAAGTTATTGGCTCCCTCAAAGGTTCACACACAACATTTTGGTCTTTACTAAACTAACCTAAGCTGTTTTAGTCATTTCATAATATTTTGATCCTGTCTGACATTTTTGAAACATGGTTGAGATTCTAGAACAGGAGCATAAAATAGCTGCCGTTTTGAAAACATTTTTCAAATGTTTAAATATTCATGCATAATTGTGATCCACACAAATACCCATCCTGACTGATGCAGGAGTTACTCGCATATGGGACTATGACTAGGCAGACAGCACATTTTGAGTCCACCTGTCTGGAACACTTTCCCTGTGGCCCCAACTTGGGTGCAATATATCCAGGAAGGGAGGACAATGAAGGAGAGGAAGAAATTACCTAACACCTCTATACAAAGCCTATTTCATCATGGTAGTAGAGTCTCTCCCCAGTTTGTCATGTAAGTTTCTAATCTGTCTTTGCTATGACCAATAAAATCAGTCCATAAGATTCCAGTCCATCTGCCCCTCCTCTAAAATTAGAGAAGAAAAGATAAACCTGATATCAAAGCATTCCATATGGATTGGTATTTTCTGTCTTCAGCAGGAAATGTGCTCAATATAAAAATGAAATAATGACATGGTTATCTTTTTTTTTTAAGTTGCAATACTAAATCACTCCTCTGCACTCTGAGAAGACTGCATTGTGTGCTTTTATTTTTCCCCTCACCCCATGTATCATCAACACTATATCCTATAGCCATAACCCAAGTGACAAGGTTTTGATGATTCACAAGTTGAGAGTGCATTTAGCTTAGTTCTCTCCACGTGGCTAGGCATAGCTATGCTTTTAGAAACTATGAGTAGTAGACATGCATTTGTGTCATGTCACCTGTGATAGTCTAAGCCTAGAATAAAGAGAATCTGTTCCAGGGTTTCTTCTGTGAGGTTGCTGACCTCACCACAGGGCTATGAAATGTATAGAGTCTCACATGAGTAGAGTAAAGGGGATGACTTGGTGTCCCAATCAGTATATGCTGCTGAATGGTCAAGTAGGAACACACAGCCATATGTCTCTGTCTTGATAAAGTTCACTTACTAAGCTATAGAAAACTAAAGTGGCTTCCTGACTCACGAGGCTTTGGAATTATAATTTCAGTTCCAAAAATCCTAGCAAATACTATCCAGAACATATGTTTAAAAAAAAAGAGAAAGTAAAACATTTCAGCAATAAAAAGATCTGTTGAAATCCATGAATCCTATTCTTAAATTCCTGAACAGTGTTTGTAAGACAAAACAAGATAGTATATTAGGGAATATGTTGTTTAATTCAGTAAATAAATTAACATGTTGTACCCTAAATTAAAAAATGATTTTAAATTATAAATTGTTGAAGCATGGAAGATAAATTAACTTGCAGAAAATCAGGAAGGACCAAACAGAACAACATTGGGTCTTTTAAAAATAGTGAGCTCTCTATCCCTGGAAGAGTTCAATCACAGGTTACATGGCCATTAGTCAGGAAGTCTGTTAAATGCATTCTACATGAGTGAAATAAGAATTAGATTTAAAAATTATTCTAAATCTAAAATGTAAAACTCTTAGTATACCTTCTATTCTACCACTAATAGGGGGTAGATCAATTTTTTATTGTTGCTTAATCCTTTGGTCCTTCCTGATTTTCTGCAAGTTTAATCAGTTAAATTACATTTCATACTTCTTTATATGAATAAGTTTATAATCTACTCTGCCATTTAGCTGTCAATGGTTTCTTCCATTTTTAAAAAGTTGTATCATAGTATATGTGTGTTCAGTTACACATAGAGCACTTAGCAACATAATAATTCTTCATGTACTTACAAAATCTATATATACACAAAATATTTTCAAATTATACAATTGATGATTATTATAAGAAAGTACGGTTCTAAGAACAGGTCAGAAAGTTTTATGGATATAAGTATCCTTGAAGCCTTCCTTTGCAACCTACATAATATGAATACTTGATTTGACAAAAATGATATCTATCATGCATGCTATTTATGAGATCTATGAAGGCAAGGTCTTTTGGAGCTTTTGTAAGATGGCAGACTTTAGTGAGAAAACCATGTCAGTGGACCTGGATCTGCAGCTTTGTGGTTACAAAAATAAAACCTTGGCAGTCAGTTCAGAGTTAAAAAGGTCAGGGGAGCAATCCACACTAGCAAGATTAAAAAAGACAATAAGGAAGAATGTTATGTTATAAATTTACATAGAGATATTAGTCTGCCAAGCAAACAAAAACGTTTGTACTAAGTATGGTTGGCACAATGTCTCCCCTAGAGAAAACACTACAGGAGAAGAAAAAATGAAATTAAACTTCACTTGGCAAGCATGAGATTAAAGTAAAGCCAAAGAGGAAAAATGATCCATATAGCTAGCAGCACCAATTGTAGAAGTTGCATCAAGAATTTTTTAACCTCATGTCCATGGACTGTTGGACTTTTAAGTTATCTGTGGAACCCAAGTTGTTGTAAGAAAAAAATATGTTTTTATGCACATATTCATTTTCAGGAATGAGAAGGCAACAGTTTCATTAGATTCTCAAGAGAGCTGATAAAACAAATAATAGCATTAAATAACATGCTATGCCAGATAAACAGGAAAACATGTATCATCTTTCTAAAATTTATTTTCCTTAACCTGCAGACAGCTGGGTGCGGTGGCTCATGCCTGTAATCCCAGCACTTTGGGAGACCAAGGCTGGCGGATCACCTGAGGTTGGGAGTTCCAGACTAGCCTGACCAACATGGAGAAACCCCATCTCTACTAAAAATACAAACAATTAGCCGGGCATGGTGGCGCATGCCTGTAGTCCCAGCTACACAGGAAGCTGAGGCAGGAGAATTGCTTGAACCCGAGAGGCAGAGGTTTTGGTGAGCCAAGATCGCACCACTGCACTCCAGCCTGGGTAACAAGTGTGAAACTCCATTTAAAAAAAAAAAAAAAACTTGCAGATATTCCCATTTTTTTTTTCTCTTTTGCTTCCTGTCCAAGGTTTCATGTAGACCACCCTTTCTGTTAATATATTCTTTATGTTGGCCGGGCGCAGTGGCTCATGCCTGTGTAATCCCAGCACTTTGGGAGGCTGAGACAGGCTGATCGCCTGAGGTCAGGAGTTTGAGACCAGTCTGGCCAACATGGTAAAACCCTGTCTCTACTAATAATATAAAAATTAGCTGGGCTGGTGACACACGCCTGTAGTCCCAGCTACTCGGGAGGGTGAGGCAGGAGAATCCGCTTGAACCCAGGAGGTGGAAGTTGCAGTGAGCTGGATTGTGCCACTGCACTCTAGCCTGGGCAACAGAGTGAGATTCTGTCTAAAAAACAGATAGATAGATAGATAATTCTTGGTGTGCAAAATGTCTTAGTATACTTTTCTTTATATTATAAACTTCTGCCCATCAAAATAAATAAAATTATGACACAGATCACGCCATTCTAGATCTAATTATTTCCCCAGTTTGCTAGCCATATACTTAAGGTCCATTTCTGAGGGTTGGGTGCATCTACAATCAGCAAATGTTGTCCACTGCATATTCTCATGTTGTAGAAGCATTGTAGAAAAGCTTCCAAATATGTTTCCTCACCACTATCACTGTTAGAGAAAGAACATTGCCAAGGGCATAGCCATTGGAATTGGGGGTGTAACCCTATGCAGAGAACAGCAGATTTGGATTCATCACCTTTCATCTTTACATATCACTTTTGGTTACTTGTATTCCCGGAAATATGACATAACTACCATAAAAGTGAGGCTTTCTTTTTAGACTTAACTTAATCAGATGGGTGGAATTTCATTCCTCTCTCAAGTATTCCGACTGCACATTCCCTCCCATGTGTTATTTTGCTCTGTAGCTTCTATCTCTGTGGAACACAGGAGCAGAAAACCACCAAAAGAATGAAGAGTAAAATAAAACAAATTGCCAAGGAAAAATATCCAAAAACCCATCACAGAAAGAAGGGAAAAATCGAGGTCTCCACAGATGAGTGCTTTTAATTAGAAAGAGAGCTGAACGGCAAAGAGCTTATGCTAATAAGCAGCCTCTTTTAATCAGCTTATTAAAAAGAAACATTTTTAACAGCCAAAATAGTTTAAAAAATGGTAATTATTAGAAAAGCATTAGCAGGTTGATGGTGGGGGAAGGAAACGGCTGGTCACGAACTGAAATTTAAAAGCTTTCTGGATACTCCAGCCAGGCCCAGTTGTCCTGAAGAAGTGGGACAACATCCCAAGTGGGCATGTTTGGTGTCAGCTTCATTTCTTTTTCTGTTATGAAAAACTCTCTTTTCTTTTCCGGGTCCCCTGCTTTCCCACTATTCCGCCTTTCTTTTGGACTTTATTTTTTCTCTGCCACCCCTTAATCATTTCTAACATGTTTTTCCAAGTACTGTTTCTCTTCCTGCTTTTTCGTTCCAAGGCTTTGGTTCCACTTTCTTTCCCCTGATAAATTTGCTTTTCTTCTGTACTGATCTTTGCAGCCCAAACGTGTTCAACCTATCTAACTTGAGTTTTAACATTGAAAAAAAAAACACTAAAGATTGTCTTCTAAAAAATATTTCCAATACTTTCACTCTTACCTGCCTCATAGATAGAAGTGTCCAAATTGTTATTGAATTATTTTCAAATATGGATTAAAATATTAAGATTCTTTATCCTGAAGTAAACTCTTGATTTGACTGAGTTAGTCAGGTCTCATCAGGAAAATGTAATTCTCTATGAGTCATTAAGAGTGAGAGAAATTAATGTAGAGACTTGATTAAGAGAGGATGGAAGAGAATGAGAAGTCAACCAGGGGATGACAAGGCAACAAAGTGATTAGTCACGGCAGGAAGCTACTTCTACTCTCTAGTTAGAAAGACAGAGAAGATGATATTACTTGAACCCAGGGGCAAATTCAGAGCAATGCACGTCTGTCCTGGGGATCTGGGGCTGTAGAAGAGATTCAGCAGTTGCCCAAGATATCAACTGAGGCAAAAAGGACAGAGAGAAATATTCTAACTGTTCCCTTCCTCCTGCCCTCTAATTTCCCACCATGACTTCCACTGGGTGAGCCCAGCATGAAGCCAGCTTAATAGAGGAGTCTGGGAACCAAAGACATGAAAGTCAAACTCCTGCCAGGAAGAGAGGAGCAGGGCAGTATGAAGATCAGATCTGAGGACTAACTGCCTGGGGCTAGCACAATCTAGCTCTTTAGTATTAGAAGAAAATGGATTATTCTATTTTTTTCACTTTTCTATGTGTTAGCATTTTATCAATGACTGGATTGAAATAGAATTCAAATACCTATTCAAAATTTTCTAAGTTCTCTAAGTCTTAACTACTCAATGCATGTTTTAGCTTTGAATCATCTACCCTGAAACAGTGAGAACTCAAGAATTCTTATGCTTGAAGACAAAATTTTCTCTCTGCAGCCATTCAATTTGAAGAGAATCAGGGCTAAGAAAAGGTATCTGTGCAGCTATCACCTTTATTTATTTCAGAAATCATATGCTGTTACTGAACTAAATGTCTATAGGAATGTGGCAAGGAAATATATGGGATTAAATGAAAATAACATTTGTGACATTTTTCTTTTTTTAACTTAAAGCCAGGCTTAATTTATTAAAAATTATTTGAGGATTCACAATTATAAAATTTGTATTTCTAAATTATTAATCTGGGCAGTGGTAGAAAAAAACAGGATAGTCTAATTTCAGTAGAAAGTTCCCTGTGCTTGGCAAATCTTTTATTTCTCCCTAGTAAATTCTCTTGTGCACTTCCTATAGTAGGTTTCCTAAACTTTTACCGCTGTGCTTTAAAGTCCACATCCCAATGACTTTTAAAATAAAGACCTCTAGGTAACAGACTTTCCTCAACTTCCCTTCCATTTACTTTAACACTAATAAGTTTATTCATCTTCACTAATTCTCTAGGAAGCACTCTATTCCTTCTCCCTTGAGTCCTATGCTATCCTGAGTCTTAAGTCCTGTCCTTTCTCAACTTCTCCAGCAATTGGTTACATCAGGCTCTTTCTTTGAAATGTTCTACTTTATATCTTTTTCAATGACAATACCACTTCAATTTTCCTCTATAATCTGGTTATTCCTAAATTTATGTCCTTTGACCTAATCCTTCATCATGTCCTGAATATATTTCCCAAAGCCCATCAGGCAAACCCATGTCCTCCCACCTAACATGTCCTCTATGAAGTCATTATCTTCCCTTCCAAACATTTTCTAGTACCAATTTAACTTCTAAGATTGGAACCCGTTCCTGTGTCTGTTCTTCCTGCTCTTTGTGTGACTGGGTCATTCTTGTCATTCTCCCCATTGCTGCAGTGAGACTAACCTAAGCATGCTATCTTCAAACAGCTGCCCAGGGACTCTCACACAGCATCTTGTATTAATAATCCACAGAGCACTCTCATCATCAGATAGTGTTATTTATTTGTTTATGTATGTTCTGTCCCCTCCTTATTAGAAAACAAACTCCAAAAACATCAGGGACTCACATTTATTTATTGCTGACACATAGTAGGTGTTTAATACTTTTGAATAAATGGGCAATGACCTCATTCTATTCATTATCCAGTCAGTAACTGAATTTTGTTGATCTTACCTCAGAAATATATTTCTCCTATTTTTCCTTTAGTTGCTCTTGTTAGCATTGTTTTCCTGAACTATTTCAAATGGTTCGAGTGTTCAGAGTCCAGTCTATAAGTAAAACTTCCTTTGTATTATCATCAGATCATATCATCATAGTTATTAGGTTATCAGGGGATTTCATTCCTCCAAAATATATATGTTGAAGTCTTCATCCTCAGTAGCTCAGAATGTGACTATACTAGGAGATAGAGTCTAAAGAGGTAATTAAGTTAAAGCGAGATCATTAGGGTGGGCCCTAATCAATATGACTGATGTCTTTATAAGAAGAGGAGACAAGGACTCAGACCTGCATAGAAGGAAGACCATGTGAAGGCACAGGGAGAAGATGACCACCTGCAAGACGAGGATCATGGCCCCAGAAGTTGTCAACCCTGCTGACACCTTGAACTTGGACTTTTAGGCTCCAGAACAGTGAGATAATAAATTTTGGCTGTTTCAGTCACCCCACTATGATATGGCTGTCCTATCAAACTAATACATGTTACAGACAAATAATCTGATCATGTTACTTAGCTTTCCTCATAAAAATCTCTATTTTCTTATTGCCCAAGGAGTGAAATTCAAATTCTTAGACAGGAATACAAAACTCTTTAAAATTTGGTGCATATCTTACTCTTAGCTTTTAACTCATGTCTTTTTCATCTACATCCTATATGCAAACTATATACAATTTCTCACTTTCCCCCAAACATGCCAGAATTTTCATGACCCTGCATCCTAGTATGTATTGTTCCCTCTGCATAATTTTTCTTTCTTCTTTGGAGAAATTATAAATTATTTTTAAAAATCAGAATGTATGAAAAAGTAAGTTAGTTCATTAAACACCTGAGAGATTATAGCCACTTTCTTGGAAATTGTCCCATTATCTTAAAGAGAACCCAAACTGAGGCACACAAGTTTTGATTCTAAGGAAAGAGAGAAGGGAAAAAGAAAAGAAAAATGGGATGTACTTCAGAAATAATATGCATACTGAGTCCTATGGCCATTTTCATTATGTTCTTTCTCCTCTAGTTCCATGATTCTTTAAGCTAAAAAAAGTCCCAAAGTAGGCCAAAAGGTAGGTGGCCTGCATTATTGCTTCACTAGTTCTCAGAGGAAGAGCAAATCAAAGAATATTAGAATTAGAAGAAATCTCAGCAGTCATCCAGTCCAAACTCTTTACTTCCCAATGAGAAAAAAATGAAAAGTCAAATAGGTCCGACCTGCTTAAAACCGCCAATTAATGAGTAGTAGAACCTTAATTCAAGTTTCCCAAACAAAAGTCGATGCTCCCTTTATGACATCCTATTTCTGTTTCAAGCCTTCAATAGTTCCTAGAGTGTAAAACACATTCTTATTCTTCCATCATTTTTCTTTCTATGTTTTCAAACATTCTCTATATTCCTGAATGCAATCTTCTGAGGTATCATTGCCAGAATACATTTATGGGAATACATAGGAGCATAAATATATATTAAAAATTTTTCATATACAATATATTCTTGACACAAAATTTCAGGAGTGCAACCACGTTGTGTGCACACAACAGCAGTCCACAATGCTTAAATACATGTGATTTAAAATCTCCTACCTTTTTTTGCAGTACTACCTTATTTTCATTGTTATGTTTTGATGTGAATGACTATAGCAGGCAAATGCCAGTATTCACAGCCCTAGTCCTAGTTTGTCTGAGAAAATTATGCCAAGCGTGCAGTGCCATCTGCTCCTGTAGCGATGCCATCCTTCCATTTTTCAGCACCGTGATAAACAACCCAACTGCACATCATTCTCTTAGCTCCACAAGCACCTCGGGGCAAGAAGGGGAGGGCGTGTCATCCTCCTAAGTTACATCCAAAGTGATGCATATGGCAGGGTGAGGGAAGGGAGAAGCAGTAAGTGAGCACTTGGACCAGTGATAAATGGGCTAGCAGCCCTAGAAATTCAAAACAGCTACATGACTGAGAGACTTTCTCATACTTTGAAAATGTCCTGGTAGTGGTGAAGATAAGTCATAAGAAGGGTAGAGTGGGGTGGGGTGGGGTCGAGACAATGTTCATTTCAGGACACTTTGAAATCAACAAGGCTCACATCAGCTTTTCCATCCCCGATTTTTTTGTGACTGTGGTCATCTTCTTACTGATAAAGACACGGTCAGGAGATGGATATGTGATTAGAAAACAAGCTGGAAAAATTACATAGAACAGTATGGTATTAATAATTCATGCAGGGCTTACATTCCATTTTCAGTTAGACATAAAAGTAAGGTCACAGAACTCTGATCTCAACAAAGTAATGTGAAAGTTGGGAGAATTGTAAGTCTGGGAGTAACCGCTGCCTGATATTTAAGTTGCTTCTGTTAATGTCCCTACCTCTGTATTGTGCTGGTTTCTGCTTATCCACAATCAATGACAGAGAACTCACTACTGTACTCTATCAGACCAGAGCCTTTCTATATACATTCAGACTGTCCAGCCCTTTTTCAATATGTACCTGTCACACGGTTTCTTAATTTGTGAATAAAGAAAATTGCTATATAGGATCAATATTATCCTCTAAACACACTAATTGATAGACTGAAAAAGTATTTAAGAATGTTTACATGTCAAGAGGCATTTTTGCCTACTTGGGAATGAAAATCTTACAAATATGACATAGAAGAATAATATTATGGAGATTTTTAGAGATATTTTTGAAGAAATTGTGGGAACAAAGTAGATAACATTTTAGAAAGAAAGAAGTTTTGGGACTATGGTAAATTTACGAGTGTACTCAGGGAAAAAGTCTTTCTGTGGATGAAAACCAGGGAGAAATACCAAACTGAATTTTGGCCTGGAACCAAGTATGGAACTCAGAAAGAAGAGACTTCAGTAACTAAGGTTTATCACTAGGTTTCAACTATTAATGTACAGTTGAATTGTGTAGTTAAACATAAAGTGAAAATAGGAACCTGGCCAATGTTAATCTTTATCAGGCCATATTGACTCATCTGAGACAGTTTAACATCACTTACTTCTCCTCACCTAAATTATAGTGAAACATCATGTCCTCATAAAGCTTTTCAGATCATGTCAGGTTTAAGTCCACACAGTACAGCATTGAAATCATGGGAGAAAAACAAAGAGTATGGTGCCCTTGGGAAGATATTTTCAAGGACATATTCTTTAATGCTGACACTATTAATCATCTGGGTGTTAGCAGTTACCAGACTCTGTGCCAGGTAATGTGTTACGTACTAGAGATACAAAGATGGAGCAGATAAATGCCCTATTTCTACAAGCTCCCAGATTAAAGGGAAAGATTTATGCACAGGTAACTAATTCATTTGGGAGCAGGGAAGGGCCATCCTTCTGGAGAAAGAAATGGTTTCAGAAAGGAAATAGAATCTTACCTTTCAGGACCTTGAAGGATGAGTAGGATTTTAACAGCTAGAAAAGGAGAAAGGGAATTTTAGGTAGCTATCATATCTAAGCAAGAACTTTGGGGCAAACTGGACACAGGTGCACACACCTGTAATCTCAACTACTCAAGAGCCTGTGATGGGAGGATCACTTGAGCCCAAGAGTTTGAATCTGTCTAGCCTGGGCAATATAGTAAGACCCTGTCTCTAATGTGTGTGTGTGTGTGTGTGTGTGTGTGTGTGTGTGTGTGTGTGTGTGTGTGTGTGTATCAGACTATGGGGACAGAGTAAACCGTTTAGTTTATTCCTCCATTTTGCAAATGTTAGCTTGACCTGTCAAAAACGCAGGGAAAGGAGGCAGGCAGTATTCTCCACCAGGGCCAACGTGCTTAATTTCCAGGCCAGCCACTTTGGAACATTTTGGCCTTCATCTCTCCCCTTTCCTTCCCCCGACTCACTGAGGTTTCTTAAGCAAGAAGCCAGGCCAAGGATGCCTGTGTACATATGTAGGCATGAGCACACCCATGTCTGTGTAGACTGATGTGTGAAAGGCTGGCATTTGGATATAATCCCCATCAGTTCATTAAAATGGACTAAACTGCCAGGCGCGGTGGCTCACGCCTATAATCCCAGCACTTTGGGAGGCTGAGGCAGGCGGATCACGAGGTCAGGAGATCGAGACCATCCTGGCTAAGATGGTGAGACCCTGTCTCTACTAAAAAATACAAAAAAATTAGCCGGGCATGGTGGCAGGCACCTGTAGTCCCAGCTACTCGGGTGGCTGAGACAGGAGAATGGCGTGAACCCAGGAGGTGGAGCTTGCAGTGGGCCAAGATCGCGCCACTGCACTCCAGCCTGGGTGACAGAGCGAGACTCTGTCTCAAAAAAAAAAAAAAGGACTAAACTTAAACAACACTTTTGATACTATGAGAGTCAAGGGAGAATCAGTATTCATCTAAATGTGTCCAAAATAATATCCCCTAATTTCAGAATTAACAGCACATGTGAACTCTTTATCTGATATTTTTTTCCACTTCCATGCCAAGATGACAAGACAAGTTTTCTGCCTTATCCTGGAAGCTAGTAGTTCTCAGAAGCTTTGGAGACTAGTAGAAGATTCTATATTTTTTTTTTTTGAGATGGGAGTCTCACTCTGTCATCCAGACTGGAGTGCAGTGGCGCAATCTCAGCTCGCTACAACCTCTGTCTCCTAACTTTGAGCGATTCTCCTGCCTCAGCCTCCTGAGTAGCTGGGATTACAGGTGCATGCCATCACACCTGCCTAATTTTTGTATTTTTGGTGGAGTGGGGGTTTCACCATGTTGGTCAGGCTGGTCTCAAACTCCTGACCTCGTGATCCGCCCGCCTCAGCCTCCCAAAGTGCTGGGATTACAGGTGTGAGCCACCACACCCAGCCAGAAGACTCTTTAATACATAGTCTTCTGGGTACCGTATATCCAAGAGAGTCCCGAAAAATTAGTATTTTCAGCAAAATCAATAATAGACCCCATTAGATCATACTTAGCCACAGTTATGGGCCAGCACTACCCTTTAGCATATGTTTATTATTATTATTGTCTTAATTATTACCGATGACAATATCATACTGTCAAAAACTCTTGCCATTAAAATTCTAATTTAGAATTTACAAAGTGCTTCTAAGAGCATTATCTCATTTATTTTTCTTATGACCTATAGGATAGCCATTATTGTAAATCCTATTTTATTAACAAAGGTTCGTAGATCGAGAAAGATAACTGACTTGCCTAGGATAACTTAGCTATTTCATAGTAGTGTACAGAAAAATCCAGATCTTAACATTATGTCTTTTGTTGTCCCAGAATTTAATGAGTTGTGCCATATAGAATCATATTCAATGAAGTAAATAGCAGAGTGCTTGACAACAAAACTCATGCTATATTTCTTCCCTAATCTTAGTTTAAATACATATAATCATTGTATTGTTATCTTTCCTACAAGTACTTGTTTCAAGTAAGGTAACATATTTTTTTTGCTGCCTGAAATATAATGTCAAATACAGAGTACCAGGAGCCTGGGGACTTTCTATCTACTCTAAAAGAACATATTCTACTCTTCACTATGGATTTGGTAACATTTCCTTCATTAAAGAGTTGCCTCCTTTATCTTGACTTTAATTCACTTTCAATTCATCCATCCCTACAAAATATTCAAGAAAGAACCATTTCTGTATAGAAATTAAACACAAATTATTATCAATACTGGAACGGCTATTTTCTACCTTCATAAATGTCTAAGGTTGTGATTTAAAAAAACAAAACAAAAAGGAACAAATATCAGGCCTGGTGGCTTAGGCCTGTAATCCCAGCACTTAGGGAGGCTGACATGGGTGGATCACTTGAGCTCGAGAGTTTGAGACCAGCCTGGGCAAGATGGCAAAACCTTGTATCTACAAAAAAAAAAAAAATACAAATATCAGCTAGGTATGGTGGCATGCACCTCTAGTCCCAGTGCCTCAAGAGGCTGAGGTAGGGGATCACTTGGGCCTGGGAGGTGGAGGCTGCAGTAAGCAGAGATCGTGCCACTGCACTCCAGCCTGGGTGACAGAGTGAGACTCTGTCTCAAAAGAAAAGGGAGTGTTGGGGGGAACAAAAGAAAGCTATAAAAGAAAACGGAAAGTAAACTCATTGCTGTCCCTGTGTGTACATCTGTCTTAGAGGCAGGACAAACTGTTTCTGCAAAGAATGGATGACCTTAGCTGGAATCCACTGAAGGGACAGAAGGTTAACTGTCCATGTGCCCACCTTGTTGTCATGAGTTCACTACCCTCTTTGCTAAGATATGCTGCCTCCTTGATAAGATATGTGGTTTCAAGCAACAGTTTCTCTTTTTACAAAACGTGTCCCTCCCATTTGGACAGATTAGCCAAAACAATAAACTGTTGAATAAATTATTGTTAATTTAAGGTCGAAACATCTGATTAAACATCAATTTAACTTATGATTTCTCTGATGAAATCCTCACTGGCATTCTGTAATCTGAAATCTGGAATTCCTAATTCAGCCACAAAGTTTGGTGTTGATTTTTTTTGAGGAGGCCATGGTTAGTACAAAAGGTAGAGATAGAAAACAGGCAGAAAGTACCTCAATACCAAGAACACCTTTCTAACAGAAGTTGTTCATGGGAGCCAAGGCCACCCAGCAAATGCTTTACCCATAACGTTAATCACAAGCAGGTGAAGTCATTAGCAAAGGATAGGTCAGCAATACAGATAGAGACAGGTGAGATAAGATAATACAGACCCAGAGGGTCATTCCTTTTATGTCAAGACTACAGAGGGCAGCTCCTTTAAAGAAACTAAATGGAGCTGAGCAAAATGTTACATCAAGAATAGATAACTGACCCATTCCTCAGAAGGGATTACTGCAAGGAGTGGAAGCTTAGGCTGAAAGACATTTAGGAACAATTCCAGTGCTTAGATTCTATTAAAGATTTCAATTTGCAAATATTTTAATTTTATCTTATGAAAAACTTGCTTTTCTTACACAAGCCAAAATTCAGTTATGTAGCTCTTAAATCATGTTGTACCTTTAAATTTAAATGGATGGTAAATAGAATTATTTGTTAAGACTTAAGTCCTAAAAGCTGAAAAACTCATTCTGCTTCTCATACATTTGACCAATAGTGACAAATCACCAGCTGTAGGCAGCCCAAGAGGCCAATGTTTATTAAATGTCTCACTCGACCCCAAATCTCATGAATTGTTTAACATACAAGACAGACAAAAAGCCAGTATTTCTCCTTGTGTCAGCTCTCGTTAGGAGCGTCTCTGCTCCTCTCACTGTTGGCTAGAAACAACATTAACATTCATTGTTCTTAAACACATGGGAGACCAAGGGGTCCCTGTATACACAGCCTATCCTATGCCACATGTGTGCCAATGTGCACCTAGTCCATAAGCACAAAGAAGCAAATGTTAAGGCCACATTGATGGTACCCACTTAAGGAGGGCAAGGCAGTTGGCAGTGTGTACTGTCACCACGAGGGGCAACTGAAATGTGCTGGAGAAAGAACTCAGTAATCTCACACCAAAAAGAAAACCTCATGAAATCAATTGTGTAGACAAAGTGAGACTTTTCAAGCCATCCATTTAAAGCCAGTCATAATAGAATTGGCTTTAGGTGGCCTGTGACCTGCAAGACAGATGCTTATCCAGTCTTTGAAGTAGCTAAAGAATTTTGTCACTGCTTTTTTCTCATGCTGCCTTTCTCAATAATGTATGAAAAAAAAATAGAAGGAACACTATCAGCGTGATGATGGGTGGTTCATTTGGAAAATCTCTAGAGGCTCTTGTAATCTTATGAATTCTCGTGATTCTAAGTGACTAAACATTTTTAATGAATAAAAATTTTCTCAGCAAAGTAAATATTTCAGCATTATGAACGTGAATAACTTGAGGAAAACCTTAATGCACTAAATGTCTACTTAACAGGCATTCAACTCTACCATTTCTGTAAATAGTGTGGTTTCGGCTAGCTCCGCAGATGTCATCATGAACTTATGGGATGTTTTCTTCTTTGCAACAGCCTCCAGAAAGTCCAACTCTGACCCCCATTGTCAAGGATTAGGGGCACACTATACTTAACTGGAGACATAAGTACTGATCAACAAAGAGAGAAACCTATTTGGTTTACAATAACCTGACCATCTTAAGAAAGAGGCTTTAATTATTCAATCAGTCCAGCCCTTTCTGGACTTCTCGAATCAATACGACATTCAACTAAACCAGCAGTTCCAAAGATGTTCTAGCCTTGGATTATTATCAGAAATATGAAGCACAGCACATGGCCCCACCCTTTCCCCCCTTTCTTCATAAAGAGAGAGCTAGGAATTTTCTTGATATATTACTATTGCAAAGGGGTATGAGAAATGGACGCATTTTGCAACTTAAATAAATACAGAATACGGAAAATAAATACAGAAAAAAAAACCTCTTCACCATTTGCACATACTGACCAACGTGATTTGTAGTAATCAGTTGTCACCCATGGAACTACAGAAAACAAGAGGTGATATTTTCCATTAGCCACATCCAAACCCCAAACAAAGAGTTCCTATGGTGGTGGTTATAAACATCAGCTAAACTCCCTGGAGAGACACATTTTTCCTAGAACATTACATATAGGTGATACATATAGCATGTTTTTATTACTCTTATTTGTCTTTTATCTTTTACATGTCTTTGCAGATGGTAATTCACAGCAACCCAAAATAAGACTACAGAGGCAACAGAAAAGAGCACTACATAATGTTAAGCATAATAAACCTTAATAATTTTCTCTCACTCGTTCACGTAGCTGGAGCTAGGCTACAAGAAGTCCTGTGGAGCTTCCTTTTCTAGGCATGAACATTTCTCATTTGTTTAACATTGTGAATCAGCAGTTATTGTGCTTCAGTGAACCCAGAAGTTTTAAAGCAGGAAGAAAGTAAATAAATAAATCCGACAAAGTTTAAAACTTAAGAATGAAAGACAATGGCAGGAAAACAGAGTAGAGTGGTATGATTCAAGTTGCTGTAAGGGGCAGGATGATAGCTCTCTTTATTCAAAGGGGCCATGCAAGCTCATTCTCATTTCCAAATAACCATAGCATTTTATGAACCGCATATGCATTTTCAGACCATCAAGTTCTTCCCAATTTAAATACCATGTGCTTCTTCACATTATTTCCTTTCCCTGCAGTTCCATGATGGTCTTTTATCTTCTAACGTCCAGTAGCACTGACTGCATATCCTTCATAGAGGATGTTTAATTTGATAACTTATGGAGTAATCTACCTTTTAACATACCCTAAATATATGTGGAATACTCTCTAAAGACAGGGACCATCACTTGGTATCCCAACTTCTTGTACCATCCAACACAGAGAAGGAGGTAAAAAATGATCTGTTGATTAAAAAAAGCTTCTGTATCAATTTTATAACTATTAGTCTGTCCACAAATTAGAGCTGCATTTAATAGTCCATGTATTGATTCATGTAACATACAGATTTATATACAATTTCACTCACCACTGCCTACTTGCTTTTCAGAAAAGAAATATGATGTAATGTGGCCATGCAAAGATGGAAAGTGAAGAGATTATTAAAGAGAAAAAAATTAAAGAAAGAGGAGGGGGTGATAGAGGGAGAAAGAGAAAGGGAAAGGAAGAAGGGAGAAGGAGGAGGAGGAAAAGAAGAAGACCCAATGTGCCACAATAAAGATGGCTGTTAGGGTGGTTTCCACCATATCTGCCTCTCATGAATAAACAA
This sequence comes from Homo sapiens, assembly GCF_000001405.40. NCBI lineage: Eukaryota > Metazoa > Chordata > Mammalia > Primates > Hominidae > Homo > Homo sapiens. The sequence continues at coordinate 116,254,555 of NC_000003.12, forward strand.
AACCAATTCCCTCTATTAACACCGTTTTGTTTCAGTAAGGTTATAGCACAGTTCTGCTAGAACTCAAGCTTAAAAGTGAGGGCCCCTAACATCATCAGAACTGGAAAAAGCCAACTTTCGCCTATGGCTTGATCCAAGCCTCTGACTACCATCTGTTTAGTGATTTGACTTTTCAGTTTTACTTTTTGGAAGATGCACCAATGGTTGACAGTATTTCCCAGAATCTCAGATTGCTCAACAATGTATTTTTCCACAAACCTCCCTGGATAAAAACTCATGATTTTGCCAAGAATTTTAAATTTTGCACTGAATGTTGTGCAATCTCTCAGAATTATTCTATATCCTCGGAATTGATTTCTGATAGAAAATTAACTCCTAAGGTACTTAAAGATTAAAGGGACACTTTTCACCAGTTACTGAGATTGGATGTTAGGAAAGCATCTTTCTCTTTTGCTCTTTGGTCTTAATATATCTTTATACAGTATTTCTGCCTGAGACATGAGACTGCATTTTCTCTACATTTCCATCTCATTTCAATGAAGAGCTCTATTCTATATTTTTGTAGACAAGGCCCTCCTCTTCTTGATCCACCCATCACCATCAGTAGTGATGTTTGTTTTAATAACTTGCTTATGTACTGACTTGAGAATTACTGAATCAAAAAAGAACTCAACAACTGAGTGCACTACTAACTAAAGAAGAAATTCCAAAAGGGCAGTTATATTTTATCAAGTAAGAGAAGGAAAAGAATGTTGGCCAGAGAGCTGCAAAATCATACAAGAGAGAGAAAGAACATGGTGCTTTAAATATGAATTTATTGACAAGTTTGCTACAGCTTAAAAGTCTTTGGTTAGAGCAGACACAATGCAGGAGTCCACAAGCTAGAACAGTTTGATTATGTGCCAGAAGTCTTTTTCAACAGCCATTTTGAAACATGTGTATTTATAGACAAAGAGAACCATAAAAATTGCACATGGTCTTCTGACCGCTGGAGCATTTAACTTTAGCTGGAGAAGTGAAGTGGAAGCCAATTTAATCTTTTTTCCCCTCTTATTTTTAATACTTTGGTAGCACATTATCACACCTACCTTACAATTTGCTACTCTTAAGTTAAATCCCTGAAGGCCAGGCACTGGGAGACCTAAAACCAGATGCTGGTGAATGTAAGGAGGGGAAGGGCTGAGCTTCTATGACAATTAAGCAAGAAATCCCTACAGAAATCCAAATCAGCTTTGGCTATAGGAGGAAAAAAATGTATGCTTCCAGGAAAAACAAAAACGTGTTACTAACCTATGCTAGAGGCAAAAACCACACTTTAGTAGGAGATACTGCTGAGAGGTTTGTTTATTTATTTATTTTTTTTGGTGACACATTGAATAATAATGGAAATAGTCAGACACCAGTGGATTGTATATATTTGGCCATTTTCCTTCTTTTTGGGTTTTCCTTTTCCTTGCTGATCCTTCCTTGTTTATCCGATCTAATGCAATAAAATGCGTAATTAATTTCTAAACGCTTCCATTGAGCGGTGCAATTTGTCAAGTCGAGTTGTTAATAGAATTAAGCTTTTTATCAGCGATTAGCAAAAGAAGGTTAAAAAATTAATTACGAAATTGTATGCCTCCCTGGTTCAAAGCCAGGTTTTGGATTAAATGTTCGATAAAGGTTTCCTGACACGTTATAAAACATTTAGCAAAAGCTGCTTTCCTCTAGTGCATTTAAAACCTGTCTCTGAGCAAAACCAACCAGCAAAGCAAGAGCATTTGCGCAGACCTCAGTAGTGCACACAAGCGTGGAAAGATAGAATATCACTTTTACAAAATACTGAAGAAAACACTGGTTTTCCTCCCCCTACTCAGGAAAAAGGACAAGCCGTGACCTTGCAAGTGTTTTTCATCTTTAACTTTTGATAGTGTGATTTGCAGCTTGAGTAAAATTGAAGAATTGGTTGAAAGAAGTAATAAAACAGTCCATTGATGATATAATTAATATATAACATGCCTTTATCTGTAATTATATACAACATATCCACAAAGGTTAGTATGTAAAGGATAGAAAGTAAAGAGTTGAAAGCATGCTCAAAATATCTGATCCTCTCTAAATTGCTGTTACAATTTATGCATTTCTCCTGTACCTGGTCCTCTCTTTTCTTTCTCTCTTCTGTGTGTCAGTCTCACCTCACTTTTCTATGAGTGGAATAATTCAATCCATTTCACCCTATCACTGTCTCCACTCCAAGTGAGGAGGAGAGAGGATGAATCCGATAAATCAGACCCTGACATCTATCCACTGAGTCACGTGTCATGAGTGGCAAAAGCTATTGTTCCACAGTCACAAAAATCAAGTCCTATTTTACCTTTCTTTCAGCTGCTGCACTCAGGCACAGCTAGCACTTTTTCCTTGCTTTCACATCTGGGGCTGCTATGCTTCGACTATCTGCTTCCAAACCCTATGCTGGAGGCACTTCTGGGCAAGACCCTGAGAGTGGTTTTCATGGGACGGTGTGTGCTCTTCAAAGGAGGTACACACTCCTCTGTGGCTTTCAAATTCTAATTTAGAATGGGAGGTCAGAGGATGCCCTTCAGCCTTAGATCTAGGTAGTGTTCTCTAAACTCCCTTTTAGCAGGGACCCAAGCGTTATAGTTACAGGGAAATTTTACTGACTAATGTAATTGGTAACACATTTACAAATGGAGTATGCCCAATCTGTGCATGTGTACTCCATCCCTCAGAAGGCTGGGAGGTGAAGGCATGAATAATAAGCCAAACACTCACTATGCAAAATGTTCTTTTTCTATTAAGTAGGGTTACTCTTTTCTTCTGTTTTTCTTAGTCCTTTTTCTCTCTTGTGTCTTTTCTGCTTTTTAACATTGTTTGGATAGTTTTCTTGAGCAGTCATACAAGATTCAATTTGTAAGAAGTATTCAAGGAATGGTGCAGTGTGACAGTTTTATGAAACAAATTTGGATTATAGGAAACAATAATGTTATTGCACTTTCTGACATAAAATTAAAGATTTTTTTTTTCTGAATATTTGCTGCTAATGATAAAATAAACAACAAAACAGAAAAAAACAGAATCAGCTTAGAAATCTGGTAGAGAATTATAATGAGCAATGTAATTTTTTTCTGGTTGCTTGAATTTAAGCTCTATGACCTTCACGGAAATTTCTAGTCTTGTTTATTCCTGTAACCTCATTACACCTACAGAGCTGCTGATACATGGTGGGTGCTCCATATAAATACCAGTTAAATCAGTGAATGGTTAAGTGAATGTTATTCTTTGTGTCATTTTTCCTTGTTGCACTTCCGTTATTGAAATTTTAAAAAAGAAGTATTCTTTGTTTTCTCAGTAAACATGGAAATATACTTTGACTTTCCTTAATGACTCAGAATTTTGCAGTGCCTCATTAAGTATGAGTAATATTAATTAACACTACAAAATTAATAACCAGGCAATTATCAGGTAAAATAGGAGGAATTAAAACTGATCCTCATTGATCTTAGCTTGTCACCCTTTTTACTTTTGACTGATTCTTTGATTTCAGCTTGTTTTCTTGTTCTTTATCTCATTCTCATAAAGGAAAGAAGAATGTGCAATTCTTTGGCCTCCTAAACTAAATTTAACACCATTGCCTTTCTACAAAATTGATGAGTGAATCTAAGGATTAATCCGTCTTCTCCCAAATTATTTTCCAACCTATATTATAATCTTTTTTTTACCATTTATATCAGTCTCCTTTGAATTCTCAGTAGCTTTCAAAATATCTTTTATTATCTGAGTATTACCAACAACTTATTTAAATATGGATGTTTCATTTAATTCTTCTGTATCTTTTTTTAAATCAGTTAATAATTTCCTCCATTTTAAAAATTAATGCTAGGCTAGTATATTAGAAACCCGTAATCTTTAAAGTAGTAAACAGAATGTCAGGGATGAATTTTTCTAAGCTTTTTTAAAATTAAATTTTAACAGAATTCTAAAAGAAAATAATATTTTAAAAAGATGATCCTTTATAATTGTGTACTATAATCAGGTGATGGAAATTTCTTTTAAGGAAATGTATCATATTCTAAGTAAGAGTGAGGTCCACAGTTTGAATCAATGAAGCAATAGCGGCCAATAGGAAAATTATTTTTAAAATCATGTGTTTGCCCTGCTTCCTGAAGGTGAACACAACACTTGCCTGACAGTAAAATAGAGTTGTTATTTTCAGATAGGCACATACTTCTAAAGTGACCTCTTATGATTCGTATAGTCATACAGAGACTGCTCAATTAAAAAGATAGAGGAGAGTGACGTCTATGCATAAGCTTGTACCTTCTTATCAAAAGGTTTACGTGTAACACTTGAAAACTATTGGGGAGATATTTTTCATCATTAAAAATACGTTTTAAAGAGAACCCCTACACATAAATGTACACATTCTGTCCTTGTTTCGCCAAATCTGTAGACATTAGGATTTAGCTTGACCCTACCCAAGGATTGTCTTTTTATTAAATCAGAACATTTCAGTTCATGAGTGGTGTTAACACTGTTCAACATATTCAGTAATTAGAACAGGAGAAATTCTACAAAATTGTTCAGTGGCTCTGCAGTCAGCTGTTAGATTTTCACAACCATACATTTAGCAATTTGATAACATGTCAGACTTAAAATGCCAAACTGATCTTACCAACAGTGCACATGCCTCAATCAATTGCATTTACTCAAAAACCTTTTTTAGCTTATTTATGAGACATTGGCCCAGAGACAGGAGTTAAAAACACTCATATAAAATATGGTTTGTTTGTTCTAACATTGCTCTAGAGGTATAAGACAGTATTTAATGGCTATACTTTGTTCATAAATGGTGAAGAATTTAGACCGGTTCATTTTCAGTCTTGACAGTCCACAAGATAAACTAAAATTGGAAAATTTCACCAAGGCTTACTTCTTATGCCCATTTTTAAAAATAATTATATGTGTTTGTGTCATATTTTAAGACTTATTTCGTTTTGCTAGATTACTTCTCTGTCTTTCACAACCAGAAGCCAATGTAATAATGATGTGCATGCAAGTAGTTTTAACTTAGAAGGCACTACATAAATGTGTGATGTGTGTAGCTGTGGTGCTGGTGGTGTTGGTATGCAATCATTTCGTAAAGTTGCTTGCAAAAATATGTTTATCTCCTATTGGTTGAGTGTACAAGTGACTGGATAATACTTTTGATAAGAAAAAGTCTCAACTAAAAAAACAAACAAAAAAACAACAAAAGAAAAACAGAGTGCTTGGGTCTTCTCCTTCTTAGCTCTCTGCCTTTATAACAGCTATCTTTATCCTCTGCAGCAGCATCACAGCTTGCTTTCTCCTCATTTTTCTCATTTTACCTCATCTCAAAATACTTCTTCTATCCTCACGCTATGCATCTTCCAGATTCTCTTTTTCTCTTTTTTCTACAGTCTTTCTTCTCAATATTCCCCCTGCAATTTCCCAAGTATGTTCCTTGGAGAAGTTACATTTCCAAGATTTGGTATTTGCCTCACATATAGGGCTAAATCTTTCATTTACATTCAGAAGATGGTTTTATGTGATTGTCTTTTTCTAAGGAAAGGAATGCTAAACTTTCCCTCCTTCTAATCCTTTCAATAAGGATCCTTCTTTACATTTGTATAGTAAATTTAACTTTCCAAAGGGCTTAAACAAACACACTTGATCTCATTTGATATTTACTGACACTGCCTAGTGGTAGGTAGAATTCTTTAATCTCCAGGAGTCTCTCTTCTCTCCAGTAAAAGCAGATTTATTAAAATAATAATAATTGGTCACAGGACCTCACATACACATTTTTTAAAATTTTCGAATAATATATAAATAATAATGAACTGCTATATTAACTTACTATAAACTATACTAATATATTATAAATGTAAAATATATAAAAATAGGAATAAAAATGAGTGAGATACAAAATACACAGGGTTTCTAATAATTTCTTCAAGTTCTCAGTGCATAATCTTTGGATCCTCTTTGAGACCACGGCATAATCTTCTAGGGCTTTAGTAACTGCACTTGGACACCTTCTAAGAGTGCTGGTTACCTGGAGGAGGTTGAGGGAGAGCTAGGATAGGACTTCTTTGCTGCTACACCAGCATAACTTCCAGGTTTCTAACTCTGGCTCCCTTTTCCTTGGCCTGGGTCCTCAACCTACGTGAGGCTTAGAGGGGAGAAAGCCAATTAGTGTGTATCTATGCCTTGAGGATAAAGAAGGAGAACCTAATCCTAAGACCTAAAGTCTAAGGCAGCATTTCCTTTGGGAGATTTAGACTTCAGCTAAGTGCTTTTCCTTGAGTGTTTGTTGATGAGGTAGAGGTGCAGGCAGAGATAGAGCATCACCTGGGAAAGGATGCAGCTGATTAACATTCTGGGCATGTAAAACAGTTTGTGCACAATTAACTTTTCTAAAATATATCCTAAGCTTTCAAATTATATTTTGCAAAGTGTAATTCTATCCTATTACCCTTAGCCACATACACCTTGGTATCACAGTACTGTAAATTATTCCTTTGCCTCCTTAGTGTTTACAACTTTCTGATATAGCACTCGTAGATAGTGATCATGCATATTCCTTCCTAGTTATCACAGTAAAACTAGGGCTATTTTATTCTTCTAATCTTTCCTCATGCACCCTAAAGTTCTTTAATCATTTTTGTTGTTGGTTTCTTCTTTCATTTCCAGTTATCAGCATCTTTCTGATCGTGGGGCATTCAAACCTAGAAGGGGGATGCCAGATTGCAGCTCACCTTACCTTATAAATAGGAGCTATAGGGTACAGGTTTCCTGTTCCATAATAGCATGTGTCTGTTGGGCCAGTGCTCTTATGCATTTTTATTATCTTGGCATCACATTGAATTATCAGCATGTCACCTCGCTATTTAGAAAGCTGTCATCTGATGCTCTCTTCTTCATAGCATTCTTCCACTTTAGCTCCATCTTTCTCATATCTTTGAATTCCATTTTCTTTTTCAGTTTTGCTTTGTTGAAAGTTATCTGTATTTTAAACAATTTTCTGATTAAAAAACAATTATTTATCTAGGAAATTAGCACAGTGTCCTGCATCCCATCTTTCTGAAGACTAAGTTCTTCAAAAAAATTCTTAGCCAACTAAAAGCAGATTCACAAAATGTGGCTGATCTTGGAAATCTTTCCAAAATGCTCTTAGATCATTCTCTTTTTCACTTGAATGTGTGTTATTCTCTATGTGACAGGTGTGTATGTGTGTGTATTATTGATATGTTATGCACATATATGTTATTATAATATAAAATATATACATTATATATTAATGCAATATATTAATAAATTCTGATATATATAATTACATATATATATCTGCATTCACATCTTTTTCTAAATTAAAGTAAGAGACCAGTTGAGCAAGGGTTTTTATACTTTATGTGGCTGATCTCTATAGCACAAGAATAATTTATGTAATAATTAATAAATCACTTCCCTATTGAGCCTAATGGAGCCCCTTCTTTACCATTTTGTTTTCATTTTTCCAACCCAAATTTGGATCGAAATATTCATATTTTCTTTGCTATTTTAGGACCTTTTTACCTAAATGCAATGACTATTGTATTAAAAAGAAAAGACATTCCAGCCTCTCCTCCATTCCCTATGTGAATGAAGTTAATTGTTACTACCTGTTGTGCCTGTTGCTGTTATTAACTTGGTGATATTGAATCTGGAATTTCATTTTAAATATCAAGGAATTGGAAATTGTGAAACAATAGATCCTAGACTGTGATGTGAGAACATTTTAGTCTTCTTGGGTGGTAAGGTTTCTAGGTATTATGGGATATGTGACACAAATGCTGATAAATTTCTTCTCTGACTCCATATTGAGGTCTTAAATCCTCCCATAAATGCATCTTTTTCTGTTGATATTTTGTCCACTTTTGACTGTATAAGATGCCCAAGCCCTGTCTGGGATTCTAGGCTTTTGGGCTGTAGGCATGTGACTCTATTCACTTTGGTGTTCTCTGTAGGTATCAGATACGCAGCAAGCACTTATGGGTGTACGTGAAACAGAGCCTCTAAAACTCAGTTAGACTATTGTATCAGGGAAGCTATCATTGCACAGAAAAGAATGCAATAAATTTCAGGTCATAAATCATTCAGCATATCTTGATAGAGGAGCAAGGAAAAAGTTGAAGGGGATATCATGTGCTTGAAAGGACAGACAGAAGGAGGGAAAGGACATTTACAAGGGAAATATGAAATCAACAAAATCAAAGCAAGCCACATAACTTGCAATTTTCTGCACTTGGAAAGCTCTTCTTGGTTCCTCATGTGGCAGGTGAAGGGATTGAGGACTTCAGATACATTCATAGAAACTGTTTTCCTGAGTGCTCAGTGAGAAGAAGGTTAAAAAATCTTAATTTTTCGGCTCTTAAAGCAAAGCTTTTATTTCTATGGGTTGAGCTCTGTCACTCTACCTACTTTCCCTGGGGAAGCCTGTCTGCTCTCTAATGGTCAAAGGGAATATAACACTATAAAAGAGAATGACAAAAAAATGTTAGCGTGGGACCACTTGTTTAATTTACGAATAACAAACACAACAAAGAATGTAATCAGGACAAAAATAGGAAGGTGATCATAATGAACTATGTCTGCTCTCAACCGCAGGAACTGATTAACCTACCATAAAAAAGGATGGGGCTGGGTGCGGTGGCTCATGCCTGTAATCCCAGCACTTTGGGAGGCCGAGGTGGGTGGATCACCTGAGGTTAGGAGTTGGAGACCAGCCTGGCCAACATGGTGAAACCCCATTTCTACTAAAAATACAAAAATTAGCCGGGCATGGCGGTGCATGCCTGTAATCCCAGCTACTCGGGAGGCTGAGGCACGAGAATGGCTTGAACTTGCGAGGCAGAGGTTGCAGCCAGCCAAGATCGCGCCACTGCACTCCAGCCTGAGTGACAGAGTAAGACTTTGTCTCAAAAAAAAAAAAAAAAGATGAATATTTTTATAGTAACATATATAAGAAACTGTATATTGAGTGATATGGTTAAATATTTTCAGCTTCACTCCTATAAAGCACATATCAAAATTAAACCAACTTTTATATTGCATTTTATTAAATTTTATGTTTTTAAGTACTGATCTAGATAAATGACCTTGCATTTGTAAGATAAGGCTGAGTCCAAACAATTAATGGTTATATCCACTAATATCACTTGTATTAATCTTCATAGAAAAATGTATTCTCTGTGTTGCATCCTTTGACTTCTAAGAATATATGGTAGCATAGTTTTAAGGCCAAGAGTTTTGCTAAAAGTCTCGGGGAGTCATCTATGGCTTCTTTACTTAGAGGAGAAAGGTACACTCGTAACTGCTTACAAGACTGAGAACTGAGAGTGGAGAAAAGTACAGAACATCTCCTAGAGGCTTCGTCTGAAAGTGATATTGTGCTGCTTCCAAACAGGATGGCAATAAAACAAGTCTGCCTGCACTTGGTTGTTACCACAGGCCTGGCATATTTAAGGGTTAAGGGAAATATCACCTTTTAGTATTATGTTGTCTAGTAGGTCAGCAGAATCTAATTAGGTGTACTAGCTCATCAAATTAAAGACAGTATGTTCTGGTATCTCCCTGGTCTCTTACTCAATTTCTAGGTGAACCCTAAAAATGTACTCTTCTGAGATAAAGAGATAAAAAAGCTCTCCCTCTGTTCTTCTTCCAGATTACATTCTTAATCTGGACTTTATTTTGTTCCAAGTTGGAGGGTTATCTGGAATTGCTTGACTGCCAAACTTAGGCAAAGAAGTAGCCTTATGATGTTTCCCATATGCTAGTAAGAGGCGGCTTCCAAGACATTGAGTCATGGCTTCAGCACAGCCTCATCAATTGCTGCATTTCACCTTCTGAGGCCAGACTCTCTGAGAGGCTCATGGGCGCTTAAGGGGCATTGTGTAGTGTTTCTGCTTTACTGTGACTGTCAAAAAATAAGAGAGTTAAGGGATAGAGAGTTAGAGAAGAGAAGATGGTGGCAGTTTTGTGGGTTTTTGTTTGTTTGTTTTTGAGACAGGGTTTTGCTCTGTCGCCCAGGCTAGAGTGCAGTGGCATAATCATGGCTCTCTGCAGCCTCAAGCTCCTGGGCTCAAGCAATCCTCCCACCTTAGCCATACCAGTAGCTGGGACTAATGGTGCATGCTATCTTGCCCAGCTATTTTCTAATTTTTACTTTTTGCAGAGAAGAGATCTTGCTATGTTGCTCAGGCTGGTCTCAAAAAACTGAGTTTAAACAATCCTCCCACCTTGGCCTCCCAAGTGCTGGGGGAAAAAAAAAAGAGTTTTCATAGAGTTCTGCCTAATCTCTAGCAGCACCTTCCTTCCCTGAGGTCTGTGGGTGGAGCTGAACATTCCAACCTTAGAATCATTTGGTTTTTCCTGTGAGCAGCCTCATCCTGAGGCTCTCTAGAGGCTCCTTCCTAAGTCACCTCATCAGCATAAACTCAAGAATGATCAAAAGGGACGTGTTATGAATAACAAAATACATTCCAATTACCCAGCGATTTTGAAGGGTTTTAGGAGCTCAGTGCCAGGAATGGGGACAAAGACCTAATATATTCTTCTTATGTCACAACATGAAAAAGCATATGCTGAAGAATATGAAGCTGTGGGATCTGCTCTTCCTGAGAAAGGGTCACTTAGAGAGAGGCTAAGGTTCATGCTGGAATTGTTTTTAATTGGGAGCTTGGCGCTTGTTTGAAGTAGGTATGGTTTGTGAGAGACTGGATTACTATTAAGCTCAATGTGGGACTGCATTTGGTGTGTTCTATCATAGCAGATTTACATCTATCTTTTTGACAATGTAGTAACTTTTCAAATCCACACATTGACGGTTCATAGCCTGCCATCTGCTCTCGTATCCGAAGAAATTCGATAGCGTATACCCTGCCAGAACATGACTTCAGTTTATATGTCCTGCTGCTCTGGCCATAAGAATCTAAATACTCGTTCCAGGATGATGAAGTTGTTGGGAAGGGCAATTTCTTTCCCCAACGCCTTGTCTCACACTAATGGCGTAACAGCAGTCCCAAGAGGTGGTATATCATCCTCCCCACCTGTGAAAAGAAATGATTAGATTGAACAGGGTTAATCTAATTGTGGTTAATCTTTGGGACTCAAATACAGGCTTCCTGAAATGTTTCTTTGTTGAAATATCAAGATCCCATTAGGATTCTTTAGTCAACTTAGAATGATGGCAGTTGTCTTTCCCTAATCCTCTTGACCTGGACTAGTCCAATAACATCAGTTGTGCTCTCATCTCAAAACATAAGGCAGAGTAACAAAAGACATTCTTTGGATCTTATTCATTTTCATTTGTTTTTATCTTTAGTTTAAAAAGTTGTGGGGTTTTTTTTTCCCCTTCAATAACTATTAGTGAGAATGGGGGAGGAAAGATTTGTCTCTTGACTTTTTTTTAACAGAAGGGAAGTACTTTATTTTCTCCCCTTGAGAATTTGCTGACTATTTTGTCCCCAGGGTCACAATTACTTAAAACTTCATACTTAAGCATTAACACCCCTTTCTGTTGCTAGCCCACCTCTTCCCTCCCTTTCTTCCCCACACAAGGGGAAACTGCAGAGAAATACTACTTAATTATCACACCACGTAACTAATTAAAAGCAGGATGCTTGTGTATGGTATGCTAATGAGCTATTAGAGATCTAGCATGCTTTAGTGACAAGACATGGGTTCCTATTCTACTCTTCACATGGCTGTGGATTTCTAGTTGACAGTTAATGATGATGAGATGGGAATTTATTATGCTGCTTGCAAGCCAAGAACTTTGAGAGAGGGCAGAAAGGTCAAGTAACAGAATCACTCAGAGGAAACAACACCTGAGCTGAAACCAAGAGACAAAAGGAATGTATTTGATTTACAGGAGACCACAGAGAATATGGAATCCATAGCAGAGGGTGTTCAATAAATAGGGAACTTTTATTATTATTTCTGGTAGGCCCAGTGATGGGAGATGAGCATATTGGAGGAGAACTATTGATCAGCTACTTGTACGTATGCCTTATGTCCAGATTTGAGTATATTAGTTTAGAAGTCACCAAAGACAGCCTGAAAAGATTGGCATTTCATGCAGAAACAGAGGCAAGGGCAAGCACACAAGTGTATAGAGAGGTAAAAAAGATGACACAGGAAGAGAGGAAAAATGAAAAAGATTAGTTATATAATATATATGATTAGTCTGTGAGAAAAAATATTACAAAGCGTAAACAGGAATGTTAGCAAGAGGCAAAAACACAGCAACACTAATACTAACAATAATAATAGTAAACACTAACAATATTAATAACCAACACTTACTGGAGTGTTCCTTTTCTGTGTGGCAGGCACCTGCCAACTGCTTTGCACTTTACATGTGTCAACTCATTGACTCTTTATGACATCTCATCCTACAGGGCAATGTGATAAGATCAATGCAGGTATTTCTAACTACTATCCCAAAGCAGGGATTCAAAACTAAGATCTCGTGAAACAGAGCAGGAAAAGTAGACTCCCACTGTATACACTGAGCTGGAATGCAAGGCAGATGTTACATTTTTTTTTGAAGTTGGCGCCACTTGCATCCAGAATATAAGAGATGCTCATTTAAGAGGAAATAAAAATGAACAATGGAATGTTAGAAATGTAAGTGAACTTTGAACAGATCCATCTCTTTCTGTGAAAAAAGAAGCTGATGACATGCATTTTGGATCTATTACTTAACTTGAAGTATGGAATGAATTTTGCAGCAACAGAATCAGCATAGCAAGGAATTTTATGTTGCTGTTTCCCCAGTGCATTTGTACAATGTTTCCTGTTGTACTTCTGCTGGTGCTGCCTTTACATCAGGAAGAACTATACTCCCTTTTCCCTGGAGTCTTAGTATCAATGAACTGACAGGAGGAAAGCAGCAGTCAGGATGTATAGAGAAGTTTCTTACTTGCCAAGGGGAGAAGACAGTATGCAGGCCCTATCTCTGTCCCTCTGAGAATCCTAGATTTAAGCTGGCAAAAAAAAAAAAAAAACTGTCACTGGAGCAGCCACAACCTCAGTGAACTGCTCATTAGTTTAAGACCCTCTGTTCTGACGCCATCCTCTGTTCGTCTGTTTTTTAGACATATGAAAGGTACTCTCCGCCTGCAGCAGAGACTGACAGTATTCTCCCCAATATTTCTTCTACCTATCTATCTTCCTCTGTGGGAAGGAATGTATTAATGGGTGAGCGATGAGCCAAGCTAAAATCCTCCAGTTTATAGTCTCCCTTGCTGATGGAATGACCAATGAGATGTAAGTAAAAGTCAATGGAGAGAGTCTCAAGGGAGGAATGGAGTGTAATGACTGGAGCACCAAACTCTTCCTTGCACCAGGAGGATGAAAGCAACACATTCAAGATGGCAAAGTTAAATGATATGCCAGGGCAATTCTGATATAATTTCTGCTCTGGACATCTCTTCTGGGCTATTTTACATTAAAGAAAAATAAAAACCCTAACTTGTTAAAGCCACTTTATTTGACCTTTCTGTAATATGCAACTAAATCTAATCCTAACACATCCTTTTTCCAGTTTCTTTGTACTATTCCTAAACTATTAGGAGTGGCCATTAAAAAAAAAATGTGTGTGTGTAGTAGGCAAGATGCAACCATTCCTTCTTACTTTGTTTATAAAGGGAAGTCTTTTTGATAAGTAGAGTGGTCATGTACACCACAAATGCTCCTCTGCCTGGCCAACCCAAATGCCTTTTATTTGCTATAATGGAAATATAAGGCATAAATCCATACCCTATCCTTCATGTAAGGCACAATTTAAATTTTTTGCATCTTCTTTCTTTCTCAGCTGTATCTGAGGCATGGACGGGGGATGGGGGAAGACAACCAGCTCTTTATATGCTGCTGTTTCCAGATGTGAATCTGTAGGCTCATGCCATTTCTTTAACATCCTTAGAGCACTGTAACTGGTGGGGATATGAGAAAGAACTATCACTTTTTGGTGAACTTGGCAAACATAGAGTCTCTCCCCCTTTGGTTAGACCTCAATAATTTCTGTGTGTTTTAAGATTTCCAAAGTGTTTTTGATTAAACAATTTTTTTCTATTTTTCTTTCTTTCTTTAAAAATTTTACTCTTATAATTTTAAAGTATATAATTTGTTGCTCATTTGTTGCTTATAATTTGTTGCTCATTTAAAAAAATATTATTATTCTCTTGTAGGATGAAGGACAGCTTGGTAAGAGGGCAGGGATTTTCATGGAGAATAGAAATGGAACTAACTTTTTTGGGGATTTGAACAGTCGGTGAAATAGCAGTCCAACCAGATTAAAGAATCTAGGTAACATCATGTCACTCAGTGGGCCCAGGTGCCACACTGACCCTGTTAGTGATCAAGTAATTATTTCTCTGGCAGGGGCTAGAGAAGCCCTTCTGTTGGGTGGTCCTGACAACTCAGAAAGCTGCTGTATAGAATAGTAGTCCACCCATTCCTTTTTCATCATCACCTCTGTTCATCCCCTCCCACACACCAAGCACAAAACGCTTTAATTACTCTCTCAATTATGGCTTCAAGGGAACATGATGAAGAGATAAGTGAAAGAATTTAATAGCAAGTGAGTTTGAATTTCAGCATTTTTATGTATAAGCCTTGTGATAATAAGCAAGATTTGAAATGTCTGCAAGCCTGTTTCCTCATTTATATAATGCTAATGGCAATCTCTCTTATTAAATGTTAAATAAAATATGCAACACACATATTATATACCCTGTTCACATTTACAATCTGTCCTGCTTATGAAAGCATTTAAGAGAGTACTCACAGTTGGATCTCTGGCATCCTACACATTGCTTGGTACACAGTGCTCAACAAATATTTGCTCAAGTTTGAATACTACATAATGATCTGTTGAATGAATGATGCTAAACCTAATGGCACTGCTGTGAGTGCTGGCTGAATTTTCTTTACGTAATTCTGTTCTATATTCAAGCTAACATTGGGCTTATTTCATTGTACAGCAGCCATATAAATAAGTGACCATATAATTTATCATCCAAACCAGGACGCTTCTGAGAGTGAAGAGGGGCACTACTAATAATTACTGTAGGACAACTAGTATAAATTTGGACTGTCCTGAGCAAATGGGGACATATATGTGATCACCTTACTGAAAGGCACATGGTTCTTTGTTTGATCAATTGATCAAGATCACAAATGAATTTGTGCTTATGTACACACAGGTTCAATTCTCTCACAGTTTAAACCAAAGAAACTGCCCAAACATTGTATAAGCATACCTTATATTGTACAATGAATTTGTACCTAAACAACTGTGTTTACTGGACTTCTAATAAATGAATGTGTGTCTACACGCCCATGGGGGCATTCTATTTAAAGATTCTTCAAGCTAAACCATTTTTAACATGACAAATTTTTCTAAAATTCTAATCATCAACCCTACCTCCCACCTGCAATCCTGTTACCCAATTTACTTGCCTTATTCATAAAATAAAATGTTATTTTCTTTGGTTTTATTTTGTGTTTTCCAAAGCAATATACATTTTAGGTCAGATTTTTATATGAAACATGTCCTAATAAGTATGTCATTGGTCAATTAGTCACCGCAGACCCTTTTAGTCACAGGAAATTTTCACTGTGATGATAAACGGAAATGATAAAAGACTGCTGCTGTACAACAGGAAAAGTCAATTCCCCTTCCAGTTAACACTCCATTTATCTGGATGACCACAGAGTTAACATCCTTCTGCCCAGTACAACTCAAGCAGGGTTGTCTGGAATTCAGGTTGCAGTGTCAAATGGACCCTGAAGCTTCTTTACTTCATTTGACAACAATTGTGATTGTTTTAGCAGTTGAGTTTGCAGAATGACTTCAGTAATACCAAAGATGGGTCTGAGGCCATCAGCAGTAGCCTCGGACCTTCAGCCACCAATAAGGACTAATAATAAAATGAAACATTGGTTATGTTGATCTCAATTAGGTCCAAGATAATGTATTCCTAGAAACACCAGGGCACTACAATTGCTGGAGCCTGGACAACTGTGAACTGCCCAGGGGGCCTTAATGTTTAATGTTGGAGGGTTCAGGAAATCTTTCAGCTGTAACTTTTCTAAGGGCTCCCTGTTTATCCTGTACAAGCTGCAAACACAGAATGTCACTTTATAGAAAAAGTTCAAAGTAAACCCAGGTTCTGCGAACAAAACCAAATATCCCACTTGAATAATTATATACAATAAGCAGTAAAAAAATACTGTAACTTAAGTCAGAAAATGCAGTTCAGGCTGTGTTAGTCACTAGCTCTGAGATCTCAACAAAGCTTGCTTACTTCTCCAGATTTCAATTACTTCGTATGTAAAATTAAGGGATTGGAACAGATAGAGTACAGATTCTTTTCATAAGTAACATGCTAGAAGTGAGTCCTTAGACCTTTAAAAAGGTAGAAATATAGGGTTAGGTAAATACACATTAGATAATGATGTTGCCATGGTTCCACTCTAAAGAGTTGATGGCCAAGAAGGAAATTAATTCAAGACTTAAGACAATAAAAAACAGAATTCAGCTATTTCATATGCAACAGCTTATTTTTAGTATAAAAATACAAGGTATCATGCTACCATTACTGTAATACTTTTTTCAATTTAAAAATAACTGTCTGGTAAATAAGTTAATTATACTCATTGGATTACTCTACCCACAGAACAGTAATGAAAGTCCAGCTTCTCTTGTAGACTAACTACAACTTGGCACACTATCCCTCAGCAAATTGTATTTTATGCTTTGTCCACAAAGTAGATTATATTTCTGTGGTGTAAGATGGGATGAGAGAAATAACACTCCAAGGAGTTAAATATCTTCCTTAAGATTGCTAGAACTTGATATAATACTCCCAGGTTCTATCACTCCCAGTTAGTTTGTTTCAAATTTTAGATTTCTTTGGTGGAAGAATCAAAATAACAAAACTGGATTTTGTTAATAAACAGTTGGGGCCACATGCTTTAGGAATATTGAGCAAAAACATTCTACTCTACTAACAGTAGAAAACAAATGGAAACTTTTTCCTTTAAACTTCCCATCTTATACCACAGAAATATAATCGACTTTGTGGACAAGGCATAAAATGCAACGTGCTGACGGATAGTGTGCCAATTTGTAGTTAGTCTAAAAGAGAAGCTGCACTTTCATTACTGTTCCGTGGGTACAGTAATCCAATAATATGCAAACTTATTCTTGGGCTCCTTTCTGCTATAGAGAAGGATAGATAGAAACTAAGAATAGAAGGAAGTAAAATGAAGTATTTCCTATTTATTCTATTTGAAGTGAATAAAAAAATAATATGGGTTAGTATTCACTTGTGAAGGGAAAAATAAATTTAAAACCCAGGATGAAATAGAGATTGGATTTTAGGAAAGCAAGTAGAATGATAAAAGAGATGGATGTAAAGATGGAAGGAATTCTCAAAGCCCTTTTTATCTCTTTGTCTTTGGAAGCATTGATCCACCTATACAGCATATGTCTCACTAAATTACAGTTCCATAAACAAATAAATATATATATATATAATAAAAACAACACAGAAACTATGTATGTGCGAATAACACTTCTGCCCAGTGATGCATTTGTGTATGAACACGGACTTATCCTGAGTCCTGTTTTATCATGGGACTGAGACAACTAATTCAGTATTTGGAGAAAGGCAAAAATAACAATGGACAACAAAACAACTATAACACCAAGGCTCTGAGTTGGTGTTCTGTCACTGGGCAAGATAAGTTTCATTCATTGTTTGATAGAAAGGCCATCTTATTGCACTTATCGAAGCACTGATCCCTAGTCAATCCTTTGATAATGGCTTGAGAAGTAGCAGTTTAATACAACTACTCAAATTGGTCATATCATGCCCACTGGCTAATAGGGAGATGCAATTTCTCAATGAAGAATTAATCTAATTCGTCTTGACTATTTTTGAAGCAAAGGCCTTGAACTACATTGATGATTTATGTTGCTGTTATCCATGGTGTTTTCTTGCCTTTGCTTTGTTTTTATTTAAAGACAGTAGGAATAACTATTCATCTCCTGGATAGTCCGTTATTTTCTGCATGATATTGAACCCCACAGGTTCAGGATACACAAATAATGTCCTCCTGTATGTGTAAGAATCTGTCCTAAGTAAGTGGCAGAAAAGACTATTCTATTAACATGATTTTAAAAAATAAAAATGAAACTTTGGTTTGCTATTTGATTTAAATGTCTTGGCAATAGTAAACTAATTTTTTTGTTTTGTTTTCTATTCTTTTATGAAACGAGCATTTTGGGCATAAATAACCTTTCAGAGTCAGGTAAATTATTTCTGGGGTTTATGACATGCTAATATGTTTCCTTGGATTTCCTGAGTCCTTCTGGTGTTATTAAGTGTTGTCATTCATTCTTTGAACACTACTTAGAATTGCTCACTGTTCGCTCAAAGGTCATCACAGCACTTAATAATTTCAGAAAGAGATAAGCAGGACAGAAGACCTTATCTGTATATCAAATGTGAGTTCATGTGTGACCTACTACACCAGCCAAACTGCTGTCCCTATCAATCCTATCTCCACCTCATCTTATCCTTGACTGACACAGCACTGGATAAGAACCCCCACGGTTTCCCATTCTCATCCTGGCTTCCAAGTTGATTCCCTGTGTAACGTCTGACCAGCCACACTCTACCTAGTTCTTTATTTTCTTCCCTCAAGTGGGAAACCTGCCTCCATCTTAATAGAAAACTGAGAGAAGTAGAATATTCATGTAAGAAGCATTTAAAGAGAGATCATAATTACACATCAATCAATTCAAAAATTCAACCCCAGAAATACTTCTGGGTTTGTAGTCTTAGTCCAAGAAAGAAAAAGGAAATTAAACAACGAAACAACTTTAACACCAAGACTTTGAGTTGGCATTACTGCTCTCTTGGAGTAATCTACTTTAGAATATGGAATTATGATCTATTTATTTTGAATTCACGTAACCCACGGTAGGAAGATGTTTGACCATGGGTTAGAGGAATACCCCAGAGGACCACCAAGAGAAAGAGAAAGAGGCATATATATATATATATATATATATACACACACACACACACGTATATATGTATACATATGTATATATATATAAAATTTTTATTTTGAATTATGTAATTACAGATATATATATCTTTCTCTTTTTCTTTCTTTCTCTCTCTCTCTCTCTCTTTCGCTTTCTCTTAATGGTCGTCTGGGCTTATTCTTCTAATCCACGGTCAAACACCTTCCTAGCATGCATTGGTAAAAGGTGTTTGACCATAGGTTAGAAGAATAACCCCAGAGGACCACTAAGGTTCCTCCAAGTTTAAGATTCTCCACTGCTTCCTATCTGTTATTTTCCATTTACAGCACTTCTCCTCTGTGTTCTCATTAAATGTTACCTCTTCATTATAAATTATTTCAGAGGAGTTTTCTGGACTGTTCTCTCTCACATTTAGGATACTATTTTCAAAGTTAACATTTCCCCCTACCCCACCTTCTAACTGCCTTTGAACTTCTCTCTGAGTTTCTATGCTTGGTTCATGTGCTAGAATTTGGCAAACATATAGTTTCTATTTTAACATGATTACAAATAATTGTTATTCCATTGTGTAGTTTGTACTTTTGTTTTTTCATTATTATCTTCCTGCTTTTGTCACTGGGATTTAGGTAATGGAAGAATAAGTAAATGACGGGAGCTCTCCAGAGTTGGGAATACAAAAGAAACAATGCTCATAAAACTGTTCATTTTCTATGTTTCAAATGTTATCTGACTGAAACGAATACCACTGTATTATTTATTTTTCATTCATTTTTTTCTTATATCTTTTTCTAATGCCTAAAATATGGGTTCACATGAAATAAACATCCTCAAACCATGTGCTATAATTTCAGTAAATCATTTAAAACACACATATTGAAGGTCTACAAGGTGCTGAACTAAGATTTTTCTCATCCCTCCACCTACTTAAAACTATGGTTTAGGTGAAGTTAAAATAATGAAACAGTGAGACAGAAATTTGTCACTGGATTTGGTAAATAAGGTGTTTTACTTCCTTGGCTTTTTTTTTTCTTTTCTCTTTTTGGTTAAACCATTTTCCAATCAAGGGCAATCTAGGCAAAAGGTTTTGTGCCTAAATGCAGTAAAAATAATTTGAAAGAATGATATAATTTATAGGCACGCTGTAGTCTTTTTCCCTCCTCACCATTAACAAATGGGCAAAATTCATCTAGTTCATCAGGTACTGGTGTAGTTATACATAAAAAGTATATTTTTATAATTCAGAGGAATAACATCGAGTAAAAATAGCCAAAAAAAAAAAAAAACTGCTGCCCAGAGCAACTTTTATTTTTGTGCAGCTTAAAACTTTTGTTGTCTTTCTTATAAACACGGCCACAAAGGATTTAAAAATAAATAAATAAATAAATAAACAGGCTCTTGCTCTGTCACTAAGGCTGTAATGCAGTGGCATCATCATAGCTTACTGCAACCTTGAATTCACACACACAAGTGATTCTCCTGCCTCAGCCTCCTGCATAGCGGAGACTACAGGTATGCACCATCATGCCTGGCTAATTAAAAAAAAAATTGATAGAGACAGGTCTCACTATGTTGTCCAGGCTGGTCTGGAACTCCTAGGCTCAAGCAATCCTCCCTCCTTGGCCTCCCAAAGTACTGGGATTACAAGCTTGAGCCACCACACCCTGCCCCACCGCCCACATTTTTGTTTTCTCTATTCTTCTCTTTAAAATAATGTCTAAAAAAATTATGTTTAAGCAACCTTGGTCATTTTTATAGGAAAAATCCAATTTTGTGAGTGTGTGTGGGCATTGGGGGGAGTCTATAATTTAAAAGAAACGTTATTTACCTAATTAATTATTAAGCATGACAACAATAGAAAAAAATCACAGAATTTCATTGCATTTTCCGTTTTTTTTTAAACCTCACTCTTTAGGTTTCATAGACTGCTGCAGAAAAATTGTGAAAGCCAAATAATATTCTTCCCAGACGTTTGCAGGCGGGACTGTGTGTAGAAATTCAAAATCTGCTTCTCAAGAAGACTAAATCATTGCTAGCAATAATGAGGTTGTCTACACTCCCCTTCTCTCCTCTCCTATATTTCCATCTCTAATTCCTACTTCTCTTCTCCCAATTTGAGACCTATTCATCAATTAATTTTATTTCCATAAAGGACAAACAGGTAGAAGATGTAGTAAGTGATAGAATCATTCTATACGTAACTGAATAAAACCAAATCAGGGGAAGATAGAATGGGTGAAATTATGTAAACTTTTCATTTCATTATGTAAATTACGTAAAGTTTTTGAACTATGTATAATCACATGCATGAGGAGACAGAAAACAACCTTGAAAAACATGTTTCAAGGGTGACTAGACTGACACCAGGCTATGTTTTAACATTAGCACTAATTGATTTGATGGATTCAACAGGCTTTTTCTTGTTGGATGTTTCTTTATATTCTAATTGGTTTATACTTTAATACATAAAAAAATCTTGTGAAAAGGTGCAAAGAGAGAATGACCTTTAAGTAGTAAATATCTGGATTGGAAATAAAACAAATGAACCCACCTGCTTCATTATGTTATAGGTGAGTGTGCCTCTGAAATCCTCAAAAACTACATTTGGAATTCAAAAAGATCAGTCTTTGCACAATTAGTCAACATTCAGAACGTATAGATTGTTTTAAGAATTAGTTTAAGCTGGAAATAAATATAGTTCAAAAATTTAGAAATTTCATAAATAGCAAACATACAAAGCATTATTAAGAAAACATTGTATGTTCTCACTGATATGTGGGAGTTAAACTTTGAGGACACGAAGGCATAAGAATGATACAATGGACTTTGGGGACTTGCAGGGAAGGGTGGGAGGGAGGCGAGGGATAAAAGGCTGCAAACAGGGTGCAGCATATACTGCTGGGGTGATGGATGCACCAAAATCTCACACATCACCAATTAAGTACTTACATAACCAAATACCACCTGTACCCCAATAACCTATGGAAAAATAAAAAAAAAGAAAAAAAAAAAAAGAAAACAGGGTCCTTGCAGGAGATATTGAAGCTAAAAGATTGAAGTCTGCAAAGAAAACCCATAAAAAATAAAGTGTGAGCCCAACCACATGGGGCTGGCCCAGTAGGACAATTCTTATTGAGAGCATCCTAGACAACCTGCTGAGAAAGGCAGACAGGCAGTGACCGTTACTGAATGGACCAATTAACAAGGGTCCCTAAGGAGGGGCTTTGGAATGAACAGTATTGCAGTGCACTCACGTTTCTCAGGTTTGTTGACAGTCATGATTGTGGCAGATCCTGTCTGATTATAAGCGAGTACACATGGAGCAGAAGACAGAGCTCTAGATGAATCAAGAACAGAGGCAGTAGTGGCAGTAGGACACTCAGTCCATGCATCAATGGATACCTGAGGGATCATCAAACACCATAAAATAGAACATGGCCTCTGATAAGAGATGTCAAATAATATTAGCTCTGTAAAAATAAATTAATTATAAGGCTCCAGTAGGGAGTTTCATGTGGTCAGCATGGGCTGATATTACCTAATTATTATCAGCTAAACTTCTTGATTCAGATAATTAGCTGAAATTTCCAAGTATGTAGCACCACTCTAGGCATAAGAATTTCCAGGGCTGTTTGGTCCTAATAATTGTTCAACATTCTTTGAATATAAGAATTCATTTGCTCATCTTGTGTTTTTTTTTTTTGAGACAGAGTCTCGCTCTGTCGCCCAGGCTGGAGTGCAGTGGCGTGATCTCGGCTCACTGCAGCCTCCGTCTCCCAGGTGCACGCAATTTCTCCTGCCTCAGCCTCCCGAGTGGCTGGGACCACAGGCGCCCACCACCACGCCTGGCTAATTTTTTTGTATTTTTTAGTAGAGACGGGGTTTCACCATGTTAGCCAGAATGGTCTGGATCTCCTGACCTCCTGATCTGCCGGCCTCAGCCTCCCAAAGTGCTGGGATTACAGGCGTGAGCCACTGCGCCCGGCCTGCTCTTCTTATTTTTATACATCTGTTTAAAGAGTGTAACCACAATCTGCCTACCTATTTAAATACTGCATTTCAGAGCTGTTTAACGGTTACCTGTTGTAAAGGTTGTGGCTGTCCCTGGACAAATATATCGATTATTTAGAGAACCATGAGAGACTCAGCCTGCTCTTATTTTCATCATATAAAAGATGAAAATTATGTTTGCTGCTTAATAAAAGAAATTGTCCTATCTTTTAGACACTTGCATATTAGTACTGTAATATACAAGATGTCACTGCAATGTCTAATAATTACTGTAACACTATTTAACATTATCTGTACAAGATATTGTGCTGATGAAACTGCACATTTAGGAGAGAAACTGAAAGCAATAATCCTATAATAAAAGTGAAGTGTATTAAAGAGGGAAAGCACTATTACTACAGGTAAAATCCTTTGAGAGTGCTCTTATTTATAATTTAGTCCTAGCAGGACAACCCTTCTGTGTGCTGATTATCAGAGCAATTCTAGCTTTGGGGAGCAAAAAATGTCACAAACACACCCGGAAGCTGAAATAAGCTTTTCCTTTCATGTGATTTAAGAGCTATTGTCACTTTGTGGAACTCTAAACATTATTCCATTCAATAATTCGGCTCCTAGATTATATATTGTCTAGGTTTCCTCTTCCTGCTATTTACTACTAAGGACATTTAAATGAAACTATTAGCTGATTTTTTTACTGCTTGTTCTCCACCTGAAGTTATTATCCTCAATTCATAATATCATACTCATCTGCAAAACAACCAAGCAGGAACATAAATTCAGTTGGGAGAAATAAACAAGAGAAATGGAAAGCAGAAAAAGCCAGGAGGAGCAGGGTCTCTGATGGGCACAATTATGACTGTTTTCATCTTTAAATTGCAGAGTTTACTTTAGCTTTGAAGTAACTGAAAGTTACTTCCATTGTGACATAACTGTGGCCTTAGATAATGACAGGAACCCCTTTTGTGTCATGAAAATATCTAGTAAAGTTAGCTCTTTTGATGATAATATTATCCACGCTTAATGTGAATAAAGTTAAAACTCAACACCTAGCACATTGCTGTTGCTCAGTAGATTTTTGTTGAATAGATATTTGATAAATACAATTTTATTAAATAGATTATAATGGATATCTGCCAAATTAAGTGTTTTGTTGATACTTTTATATTTACTCATCTGTCTCAAAGAAGATGGATAGCTATGTTAGCCTAAAGTCACCTGCTCCAAGGGCAGCCAAGGAAACTCCTATTCTGCTAGTGCCCTGGGAGAATACATATGTAGCTTCATTCTATAAAACTATCGGCAAGTTTATGTACCTAGTTTTTGCTTTTTCTGTAGGAGAATTTTCATTAACATTCTTTTTGCTAGTACTTGCCATTTAAATAAAATTTGGACATGAATCACAGGAATGCATTCACCAATTTTTCAATCCTACATTTTAAAAGTATGTTAATTCTATGTGTCCCTGGGAAAGAGAGGGACAGAGGGAGCCCTGAGAGAGTGAGAGAGCCTTCTGTCTTGCCCTCAAACAATACATATCACTTCTTAATAAATTACCAGTCACAAGGAGTTCCTCTTTAGAGGAGAAAGTACAATCACACAAGAGCACTGCCTAAAGCAAAATGGCCTCCTTCTCACTGCAAGGCCTGATTTCCAACTAGGCTTTCCAAAATGATGGCATGCCCTGGCTACTAGCTTTCTTGGCTGTCCAGAAAGTATACTTCTCTCCTTGTATAAACATCACATCTTCAATATAACTCTAGTCTTTGACTAAAGCCAGGTGTAGAAGAGTAGGGAGCCTATTCTATCTACTCTCATGTGAAAGATTCTCTACACTGATTTTTGCTTGTGCTAGTCTCAAATATTGAAAAGTGGTACAAATTTTTCATATTTGGAAAATATGTGCTTGCCTAAAGAAACAATATTCTTGGTTATTATATTTTATTGCTTGTAATTATTGTAGACATAAAATTATGTTCAGTAATAATACTGTCACATGTAGATTGCTGACTGCTGAGTATATATTATCTGTATTGAATTTTGAAAATCTGTTTTCATATACAACATAAAAATGTCATTGAAAATGATAAGCATTTTCCCAAAATTCCAAAAGTTAATGATTATTGAACTCTGCTATAAATGATTTTCATATGTCATATGATAGATTAGCTGCACTTGCCCATTTTTTCAATGTCAACTGTTCTAGTAAATGTTAATAATACATTGAAAACATTTACTATTATTTAAGTTCAATACCAGTTAAGAAACAATCATTAAAAAATCCGAGTTGGGCCAAATATTATGTCTGTAATACAGGCATTTACATGGGATTATTCACACATAAAAAAATAAATACTGGTGGCTTTAATTACTGATGATGCTTGTAAACTTTTCACTCTGGTGTAACGTAAGAGAAAACAGAATCTGATCAGAAACATTTACACCATGAAGACAAAAAAATAGAAAGTACAGTAGTATTAAATCAATACATAACAACTTTTTAATCTTCACATATTTCACCGAAATCACATTAGTTCCCACCATGATAACTGAGTGAAGAAAGCATGGCATATATTTTCACTACAGAGATGAAGACATGGAGGTTCTGAGCAATGAAGCGTCTCAGGATCACATGACCCCTGAGCAGACCTGAAGAGACCTGAACTCAACTTCCTGAGCCTTAGTCCTCTGCTTTCTTTCTTGTATTAAACTGAGAAAGAGGGACATTTTCAAGGACTTGGCGACTGAGATTTTCAATTGATATGCACCACATTGCTCTCCTTCCCTAAAGCAGCTTGGCTGCGGGTCAGGATTCAATCAACTGAAAACAGACCCAGTATTGGCATCTATTTCTATGGTGCTGGCCAGGGAGTTTTTAAAATGCTGTGCTATTCGATGATACTTAGGGCCTGGGGTTTCTGAACAAACTTTCATAGACTTGGAAATAAACATCTTCTGAGAATGTGATTTACTTACAGGAGAGGGCAACTGACAGCATTTGCTAGGTGACTGGCTAATATCCAGGGGCTTCTCCTTCTTTCCAACAGTCGTGGTTCACTCTATCATGATTCTCAGTTTGTTCTTCTCTAGCCAGTGAAAGTGGCCATTCGGCACAAACTTAAGCAGTGGATTGCAAGTAACATGCTGCCTCTTACAGAAAGCCCAGAATAGTGTGATAGTTTTTTTCTGACATAACACCCATCTAATGAGTAAAAGAAATGATTCTATCCTCAATAAACTGGAAGACATTGAACACACAAATGAAAAAGGAGGAGAAAGAGAAAGAAAAGGGAAGGAAAGAAAAAGAATGGGAAGAGACAGGAAGGAAAGAGTGAAAGGAAAATAGATGCAAATGATAGAATAAAGGTGAAAGAAAAACCAGCAGTTGCAAACTTGGAAAAAATACAGGCATGAGAGCTAAGGGATTCCTGAAACAAAGGAAGACATGAAGTACAGAAAATTAGAACAGAAGATATTTGTGAAGGAGAATTTTGAGGGTGTTTGAAGAGGGGAAAAGAAGGACATTAAAGATGTATGGATGCCGAGGAATAGAGGCAGGGGAGGATAAGTTATATCTCCTTTGAAACTTTTGCCTTCTATTTTTCAAGTTTCACCTGGGCTGACATCTTGCTGTTTTCAAAGAGAAGTGCTTATTAGAAAAATTGGTGAGACAATCCTTAGTATACCTTCCTTTGCATTCATGACAATTACTCATTTTATAATTAGAAAGAATGACAGCTATCATAACTGATAAATGCAAACAGAGGAGCCATATTTCATCTTTACAACTGCCAGATTCAGACGTGGTAGTTAGAAGGTGCATTAAACCACCAACTGTGAAAATAAACATGATGACACCACCTTACAGAACTTAGTTGTGGGAACTAAGCATGACTATGAAAGCATGTTGTAATATAGAAGATACACAAATAATAAAATGCTATTACTATTATTACTTTCAGCACAAATACAAATCTAAGAGCCCATCTCTTCATGTTAAATAGATACTCTTAAATCAAAAGCCATTAGTTATCTTTTGAGAGGAATATGATTTCATTTAGAGTGTCACAGCATTCTGAAGCATATTACCCTCCTCCCCACATTTAAAGTTTCTGTGGCTGTTGGGTATTTCCCCACGTTGTCTATGACATATTTTAGTACTAACCAACAAATGTTAGTTACACTGACATCTTGAGAGGTACCAATCTGAAATGAAAACATCCATCTTCACATTAACAACTTTTTAATTAACCTTCTGACACTGTCAATAAGAAGTTTCACTGTTGTTGTGGAAAGGGATGCTATTTAAGTGATTACACATGTGCTGCTGCTTTGTTTATTTTCTATAAGAAAATCAAGATGCTCTTTAAAAACATCTTCACCTGTTACTAAAAGTGAGGGTAATTTTGGTAAACTTCCATGCTCGGAAAACAGACTGCGCTCATGCTGGGCAGGACTTCATTGAAATAGTGAGAGTTTGGTTTGATGTTACAAGGACAGAGGGAAAAATGCAGAGGAAAGGGGATAGCAGTGACTGTCAGAGTTGTTTGCCTTTGATTTCCCTCAACCCCAGTTTTGTAAGAGCAAGAATACCATGTAAATATCCAAAATATATCTTGGGGAGGCAGCCCCCTGGAAACAGCTTATAGTTTTAGGATTTGAAAAAAAAAATCTGTTCTTTTAACTAGTGGCACATAAATTCTTCATTAAAAGTAATTTAACTGACATCAGTCTGTCATTGTAACATTCTTTTTTTCTTAATATGTTCTTTTCTTTGAAGCATCTCCTTGTGAAACACGTAGTTGTGATATACCTTTCTTAAATGGCTTCAGTGTAGCAGTAATAGGAAACACATCTTCCATGTCCCTTACGTAGTCTCTATACATGGATGCCTCCAGTCTCTCAATCCCACATTTTCTGACATGTGGATTTTAACTATAAGCAGACAACAACGGAGCAACCACAGCAAAAAATGCTCTGGAATGTAACTAAGCTAAGGATGTTGTGATACATCTTTTTATCAAATAGAAGGTTTCCCATTAACTTAGGAATCCCAGTGATACTCCCCCCACCCCCCAAAAAAATGAGAGGCTCATAACCCATTTTACAGTTGACATTGAGACCTAAACAGAAGCTGATGTCTTTCTGCTAGGCAAGACAAACCTGAGGCAAATTCATGAAACTGCTGTGCTCCTTGTCAGTGTCCTTCTCAGGGCCTTACTCTCTCCCCTGTCTGTCTCCCAGCAAGGTGCTTCTTACCCTCATCCTGCTCTTGCCCACCCATGACCCTATCAAGATTCCATAACAAGTTGCCCTTCCTTGGCAGCTGGCCACCTTCTATAAGCATCTCCCTGCTCTCCCACCTATGACAGGAGGGTAGTACTAGCAGCTGTAACAGTAAGTAAGGTAAAACGTTTCCAGTTCTTCTTACTCTTCCTCCCTCCCCAAAGTCCCAATCCCAGAAAAATGATTTAGAAAAGTAAAGAAAGAGAGGAAAAAAAAAGTACCTAGAATTTCAGAAAAAAAAGAAGAAAGAAAGAAAGGAGGAAAAGTACCTATAACTCCAGAATTTTGAAGTACCTAGTTACGTGTTCATCGGTGCTATTTGAAGAAATATATGATACAATTATGAAGATAAAATAAACCATGACAAGTATACAGTTGTTGAGTGGGAAGAATGGGAGAGGGAAATAAGGAAAAGGCATCCCTTTTCCCTGACTGAATTACACTTTAGCATGAGATAGAGGAAAAAACTATTGACTAATATGGCTTGACAGTTTACTTTTCAATAAAGTCTAAGTTTTGTGCTTAAAGTTACCTTAGGGCTGACTTTTTCTTATCTAACCTCATCTGGCTACGTTACTTTAGGGCTAGCTTTGTATTATCTAAGACAGACCAGAAAATTCCTGGTCAAGGGCATAAGAGAATAATCCCAGTGAATAAATTTTAAAGAGATTCTGGGAATCAAAAAATAAAGATGGCTTATAATGAACCCTATGAATCTTGTGTTTTGTAAGAGCCAGATGGAGGTTGTGACGGTATGTGCCTAATGAAAATGGCACTTTCCTCCTCAGTCCTCCTTAGTTTTTATTTTTCTTCCAATTAAGATAGTCTCACCAGCCTGGGAAACATGGCAAAACCCCATTTCTACTAAAAATACAAAAATTAGCTGGGCATGGTGACATACACCTGTAATCCCAGCTACTTGGGAGGCTGAGGTAGAAGAATTGCTTGAACCCAGGAGGCGGAGGTTGCAGTGAGCCGAGGTTGCGCCACTGCACTCAAACCTGGGTGATAGAGTGAGACTCTGTCTCCCAAAAAAATAAATAAATAAAATTAAAAAATAGTCTCAACTTATTTCTTTGATATAAGTTTGTGATTGTTTTAATATGTGGTCAGGAGGAGAAGACCAGGATGCATGTAAAAAATATTTTCATAGTTTATGACTTCTAAAATTGAAGATGGTAAAGGTGATTAGGAGGCTGATGATTTTAGAGCCCCTCCACTAAGAGATCTATTGTTTCATGCCTGAAGTTGCTTACCTGTAAGTCATGTTCCCTCTTGTAGGGCAATTTACTACCTTGGTGTTTAAATTCAAAGTTCTATGCCAAAAAATAATGTTTTTAAAAATATATTAATCTCACACATCTATCATTATGAAACCAGTATAGTTTTGTGATTCTTTTTTAAAAATAATTTTTGTCTAGGAGATAATGTATACATTCTTTAGGCTTCAAAAGGACCTTGGAAGGCATGCAATTTGCTAGTAATGCATTTGCATGATTCTGGTTTAACAATTAACAATAAATTTCATCATCTCCAAGGCTACTATATCATAGAAGCTGTGGACCATTTCTCAGAAATGCAGCCTATCTTCTTTCTTCCCACCAGGTGAAATCTCTATGTTTCACCCTTAACTCCAAACCAAGGCATTTACACTTTTTGGTATTGATGGAAGGATAAACCCTGCATTTAATTCCTTGATGGCTGTCATCCTGCTGTATATAAGACAGCCCACCAGGAAATCACTTCTATCTCATGGGCTCTCAATCCAAAGAACACAAAGGATGGTTTCCAAACTTCAGAATCCTTCTAAAATGACCAATTCCATCTGAAATTCAACTACGTGATTTCTAAAAATGATCAAGTCCACAAGTTCATCCAGAATACCAAAGCATCTAGTTGTCTCTTCATCAGTGCTATTTGAAGAAATATAAAATATGACACAATTATGAAAAGAAAATATACAATGGCAAGTATATGTTCTAAGACATCTTTGCATTGTGGTGAAGTACCTTTGAGTAGTAAATGACTGAATGATGTTGCTACTTTCAAAGACAAATAACAGAAACAACAAAGAAAGCAAAGGTCTAAATCTCAAAGTCAAGACTGAAATCGTTGATCACTACGACTGGTTTGAAGCTTGAGTGTTAGGGCTGGCTCAGCTCCAAATTGGCTGAGTGGTTCTGAACTCCCTTCAACTTCCCCATCCCCATTTGCACCAGGTGATCTTTTAAAATGTAAATAATCCCATATCACTGTTCTGCAATGGCCTCCCGTCACTCATGGAATAAAATCACAACTTCTGATTGGCCTATGTCTCTACAGGAGGTGATCGAGACCTATCTTCAGGAACCCCATCTCCCACCAGACTCTGTCTCCCTTTTTCTCTTATAGATATATGGGTGAGTCTGCCAATCCTCAGGCAGCCCAAGCCTATCCATGCCAGGTAACCTTCGTAAATGTCATTTCTTCTCCCTGGAATGTTTTACCTCCAAACTTTTGCATGGCTCATTCCCTCTTCTTTCAGGACTCTGCTCTAATGTAACTGCTCCTGAGAAATGTGTATTTTTTTTTTTAAAGGATAGTTTCTAAAACATCTCCCATTCCTTGTGCTTTCATTTTCATCCCAGAATTTATATAGAAACAAGTGATGGTATTTGCTGTCTTTTCTCATTAGAATGTAAAAGTCATGAAAATAGTTACTTTGCTTCCAAACTGTGGCATTCCCTAGTGTCTAGAATCAGGCTAGGTGCATAGCAAGTGCTCATTAAATGTCAATGGAAAATAAAAAGAAATGCCTTCTTTTTTTTCCTTCCACTCCTCACCCCACTACACAAAACAGTTAGTTGTAAAACCCTTAAAAGGGAAAAGGCCTGTGCATTTGGTGTGTCTTAGGAATTTGGGAGACAGCGAAACTATGTGCCACTCCAGGGTAGTTTCATTGGGGAAGAGGCCTAGAAAGGATAGAGTTGTTTAAAAGAGAAAACAGGCTTCATCTCTAGAGCTTACAAAAAAGAGGACAAAGACTGTGGGGGAGCCAGTCTAGGTCTGAGACAAAACCCAGAGGACTTAACTGCAGAAAGCTTCCTGTGGTTCACAGTAGTCCTGGACTAACTAACTTTGAAATTCCAGGAGGAGAAGAGGGGCATTTGAGGCAATGTCCTTCCTATGTCCTAGGGAACAGGGAAGCTTTGCAATGCATATGGAATATACTCTGCAGCTCTGGCAGACATCCTGCCTTGGGAATGACTTTCTTGCTTAAGCCAAAGACCTTGAAATGGAGACCTCATGTGTAAATATGTGCAAATGTTGAACTAAATTTATCCCATAAAATTTTTAGGAAACAACCTTGCCATGGATACAAGCTGTTGAATACATTATCTGCTGGGGTTAACAGGGTTTCCTTCAGCAGAAATAAATAAATTAAGAGGAAGCACTGAAGGGTTGACTACTCCAGATTTGTCTTTAATAACATTCCATTAAAAATGATGGAAAGGCACAGCTCTCATAGCAATTCAGGCTCAGAGTGATGCTGTTCTCTTTCAGGCTCATGTCCTCAGATGAGGCTTCTATGGTTTTAATCACTTCTCTTCCTCTAACTCACCCTCCTCCAGCTTTTTATCCCTTTCATTTTTTGGTCTGTCTTTCCATCTATCTGACTACGGCTCATTTACCTTGATTAGCAGAGGAACTGGTATCACATTTTTCCACAAGAACTAGTGATTTTAAACTATTTAGATCAAAAGTTACACAAATCATCTGTACCATGCAAAAGCAGAGGTTTGTTATAAAAAATTATGTTTGGCATCTAGCAAATTTTTATCAGTAGAAGAGCCTACTATTAAATATTAATGTCATTAACTTTTTCTAGTTCTGCATTGCCTACCTCCCATACCATGTGTATTATCTCTCAAGTTAAAAAAAAAAAAAAAAGGTAACTAGGGCCTAAAAGGTCTATGGAAAGGACACTGCCATCACCAGCTGTGACTCCCTCATCCCTTTCTATCTATAACCATCTAGAGATAAAATGGAATATTCCTCTCCAGTCTCTCATTGCTTCCCTTGTAATAGCCACTTATGGATATAGCAAGAATTGGATGAAGTTGGTAGCGCTTTCTTGGAAGGTTTATATGTAATTTTTTTAAAGTTAACTGTTTAAGACTTGGTGATGTGTGTGTGTGTATCTCTGTATGTGTGTGTGTACATGTATATGGAGGATAGTGTGTCACATGCAGAGAGAGTCATAAATGCATGTTTGCAGCTAACATGTTGGCATGGTTTTGCATTATGGAGATCAGGTCAAAACTGCTTAGCACTCCTCTGTGATTTTCCCACCTATAGCTCTCACAATGTGACCCTATAATATGAGAAGACGCACTCCCAAGCATGAAGACTTAATTTGCAATCCACACAAATCCCTCTGTCCAAGTGGGTTGAGGGCATAATAATCAGGCTCTCATACAGTAATGATGAGCGTTTGTGCATTCGGAAGAGCAGCTGCCTGTAAAATGTTTATTCCTTTTTGTGTGTGTTAAATCTGGCTCTATCACTTACTACAGCTTGGTGGATTTAACATTTCCTAAGACAAAAAGGTAAAGAGTAAAATATTAAGAATTCTGAAAGCAAACTCCACTAGAAGAATAAACCTGAAAAAGATAAATGTAGAAAAGGAATGAAATGTTAAAATATTCTCTCCTTACCTAATGGAAAAAATAGAAACCAAAATAAATGGCCATTTATCTAACTTTACCAACCTCATCACCAGCATATCCCAAAGTCCCACCTCCAGTTTGATCATTTCATGCTCCAATCATTAACCTCACAATGCAGATTTCTCTGCCTGCTCTTATAGAGCTGTTAGTTTGCCCTCAACAAGAAGTGTTAATGGGCAGCCTCCCTGGCTAAGAACACTGCACAAGCCTCAGACTTTATGCAATTCCAAACCAGCTTGCTTAGACTCAGGAAGCATGATATTTCCTCTCCATTTCTAATAAATTTGACCTTGAAAGAGGACAGAGAGTGCTGCCTCTATAGAAGGGAGGCAAAAAGATTTAAAAAAAAGTAAGATACTATGACCATATCAAAGAAGGCAGGTATGTTTCTTTTCTTTGTTTTAGAGTGAAGGAGGTAGAGCCTATGATCCTGGTGTCTTCAGTGTTTTGTTTATATTAGATGGAACGAATAGGGAAAAGAGTAAGAAAAAAATGCAAACTAAGGCACATGGAGGTGGCACTCATGCTCTCTTTGGAGCAGAGGTAAACTACCCTTGAGCACCATCCCTGTCTTTCTGCCCATTCACATCTGCTGCTGCTTCTGTTTTCCTCTCTGAATGGATTCTCAAAGAAAAGACAGATGAGAGAAGGTATCGTTAATTGTGGGTAACACAGAACAGTTGTTAGAGAAATGGCAGAACTGCCATTTAGCCAGTGCCTGCTCCCCCATCATGACCATTACAAGCAATGGATTAAAATGTGTGTTCATTGCTTCACATATGGTTACTTTTACATTGTTGATTCTTCACTGGGGACCCATAGAGTGAAGATCGGTGAAACTTCTAATCTTCAAACTTTAAAAAGCTGATTTAAAACTTCATTCCATTTATGCTGTTCTCTCCCTCACAAAGTCAGAAGGTTTCCTGTGATGACGTCCCGAAAATACTGAGAGTTTCAATTTGCTAACTTCCCCAAACATGCGGTATCTACATTTTTTCCCAGCCACTTTGATCTCTTGAGTTTACAGCACAGCACTATTCATTTTCCTGGCATAGACAGTGAGAATTTCTTTTGCTACCAAACCAGCTGGTAGAATGTTTTTCATAAGGGGACCTCAAACAATAGCTGTACTCTTCCAAAACTGTCTTAGTATTTATTAAGTTATTTCAATACCAAAGAGAGACAAACAGTATGCCAGTTCATTTGAGAATAAATGAAGTTCAATTTTTTATAAATGTTTAAACCATTTCACACATAGTAAAACCAGATCTGTGCTTTCCCAGTTTTAAATTCCATGAGTTTATTAGATTGGCTTGTAAGGATTTATGTTACAATACAGTGCACACTTAGAGATGGAAACTGAATTCATAGAACCATGAGTTTTGTTTATTTATCATGTTTTATAAAATTTCATGAGAGAAACAATCAGTAGCATCTATAGCAATCAGAGAAAGCCTAACACAAAAGAAAACACACCAATTTATAAAAGAAAGGAGTAAATCAAGACTGGTATGTCTCTGAGATATAAATAAGCAGTTCTCAAAAACTGAAGGTAGGGACTTTCATTGTCAAACATTTGAAAACTGCTACACATTTTATTTTATTTTTTAGATATTCACAATGTACCATAACATATGAAAGGCTCTGAAAAGCCGTTTTCCTAAAACCTGTTTAATTTGCTTAATTTGTTTAAACAGCAATTTCTACCTGTATTTAACTTAGAACAAATTTTTTTTTCAAGAAAACAGAATATCCACTAACATTTACAGCATGCCTTAGTTTGTCATAACAAACTTAGAAAATGTTTGATTAGGTCAATGGCCAAATGGTGCTGCAAAGGCTGCTGAGGACCCACTGACTTTGCAATCAATTTCCCCTACCTTTCTACTCTGTTCCTTTTATATATGCCACTGCCTAACTAGAGGCCCAGAAAACCCTTCTATCTGACCTTTTGTAAAGTCAGAGTGCCTCGGTGGTAAGATCCTATAAGTGAAATACATCATTCAATAGTCACTTTGTGGCACATTTAAATGGAAATTTTAGTTCACTGTCCCAGCACAAACCTGCTTATTAAGTTTTTAATTATCAAATTGGCCATATTAAAAATTAACTCGATATGCTTATCAGTTTGCTACAAAGAAGAGAGTCACTCACGCTATCTTAGGAAAAGAGGATTTATTGTAAAGACATGTATAGCCTGAAGCTAAACCTGGATTAAAAAGCTATCACAGTACAAAGCAGCTGTATGAACTAGTTACTTGCCTCATCTCTTTTTCTCTTTGGATTTCCTCTATTTTCTCTTTTCATTAGTTGCTGGCTTATCCTCTTATATTTCCTAGCATAAATACCAGAAATGGCTACTCTGATTGATTAGTAAATCATTAATTACCCTATTGTGTAGAGCTTTTTGTATCAATCAATCTGATGAATTCTAGAATGGCACCTTTGAGTGGGTATACAACTCCCTCATTTAGTCAAAAAGATCTCTAATTCAAGTAGCCTATGGTGACTTTCAAGAAAAGGAATTGGAGTAGTAGCATTTTAGTTTATAGGAGACACTGTATGTGGTAGTTTCTTTCAATGTCATGTCCCTGCACACTGCCCCTTCTTACATTGACACAGGGAAAATATTAAATTTCACTCCTTATGTTGTAACACATTCAAAAACAAGTGGATATTAAAAATTGAAATCTGTAAGTTGAAGAATTCCCCCCCATCTTCCCCACTACATATGTAAAATTATCTAGACATAAAAGTACTTTTGGCTGGGCGCAGTGGCTCACGTCTGTAATCCCAGCACTTTGGGAGGCCGAGGCAGGCAGATCATGGGGTCAGGAGTTTGAGACCAGCCTGACCAACATGGTAAAACCCTATCTCTACTAAAAATACAAAAATTAGCCTGGTGTGGTGGCGTGTGCCTGTAATCCCAGCTACTCAGGAGGCTGAGGCAGGAGAATCCCTTGAACCTGCGAGGCGGAGGTTGCAGTGAGCCAAGATTGCACCATTTCACTCCAGCCTGGGTGACAGAGCGAGACTCTGTCTCACAAAAATAATAATAATAATAATAATAATAATAATAATAATAATAAAATAAACTTTCCTAGTTGATCTTTATGCCTCTAACTTATCCTTGATATAATCAATCAGCCCTATTGTCTGCTATTAAATTAATCA
The DNA here is from genome assembly GCF_000001405.40 of Homo sapiens. Classification (NCBI taxonomy): domain Eukaryota; kingdom Metazoa; phylum Chordata; class Mammalia; order Primates; family Hominidae; genus Homo; species Homo sapiens. Next base: position 116,290,861 of record NC_000003.12, read on the forward strand.
AATTAATAATGGTTAAGACAAGCCAATGTTCTCTTAAAAAATCTCCTGTATCTCTTCTTGCACACATGGTCCCATCCAAACTCTAAAATTTCACTGAAGATGCTTCATATTCTGACTCTGAACTACATCTCTAAGTTTATGCACCCCTTATGTCCAACAAGAAACTGTTAATCTTCGCAATGGTTGCAAAAGACACCAGTCAAATTATCATGTTTATGTCTTTTCTCAAGTCATTATCTGTACTGGGCTTGTTCCTCTTTGTCTCCTTACCCCAATCTAACCTACTTACTCCTTTGAATATATATGCTCCAACTTATAAATCTGTGCCTTTCTAATTAGAGTTCACATATATGGATAGGTGAATTGGAAACAAAATTGAAGAGAAGATAACAGTCAGCTTAGATTTTCTGGGAGTATAGCTAGGTCTTTGAGGACTCTGCCATATGGTTTGGCCATATGGGCAGACGATGTTGAATTTGACCAAAAGCACTGGCTTAGAAGTCATGAGATCTGGGCTCTAATCCCAGATATGCTACTAACAAACCATTTAACCTTGGGCAAGACGCTTAACCTCCGTGGGTTTCGGTATCTTCACCTGCAAAATAAGTGCTTTGGCCTAGATGATACTTGGAATGTTTTCAATTTCTCATATTCTATGAGACCAGGATAGATGTTTTGTTCTAATTATTAGTTGGCTTCAACTGGTTTGCTACAGATAACATTAGATTGGGAAATGACCTGAGTTAGAATAGGGGGTAGGGATCTATCTAAACTTTCACTTCAGATCTATAAGTGAGCTTTGATGGTTTCTTTCTTTCCTCCCATATGGCCCAGGTGTTTCTGATGCCCCATTGTAACTTCCCACACTCATCATGGCTTTAGATTGACTCTAAGGTACTTGAAACATTGGCAGTGACCCCCATTTGTAAAACAGACACATCCATTTTCAGGCCACACTTTAGAAGTTGCATAAACCTGAAGTTTTTCTGGAAAAATAATCCTTAATTCACACAAAGAAGTGCCCAGCAGAGCTCCTGTTTTTATAGAGAAATCTGCCAGGCAACAACTGTTTGGACTTTTGGTCTTTATCTCTTTTCTTATTCTCTTCTTCATTACTACAAATTTCCCAAGCTTTAAGATCACCACTCAGCAATCATCAACATAAAATGGTACCACTCGCAAAAGATGTACAAGAAACAGTATTTTTTCACCTGACTTTCAGAGCAGTGAGTTAATTTAAAATTTATCTTTGGTAATCTCCCCTACTTCTTTTATTTATTTCATTTCTGCAGTTTAGATGGAATGTACATTTTATAATTAAATACAAGTAGGAAATAATATCACACTGACAAGGCTCCTAATCTCCTCAATATATTAACAGTCCGTGCATCAAGTCAACTCATCTTTAATCCTGGGTCTCACTACGCAAAAGCAGCACATAAGAATGAAAAGAAGATGATTCCAGCCATAACTTCTCAAATGGTGATTTCAGGACAAAAACTGTGTGGAAATGATGTAAATAAATCATTAATAAATAAGGATAAATGACATTGTATAAATGTGTGCTGCCTATATCAGAGGGTTAGAAAAAATACCACTAGGAAACAGAAAATCAGGTCTCTAATCTGAACCCAGCCATTATTTAACTATAAAATCTTGAGCAAATGCACCCAGTGAATTTTCCAGGGTTGTCCTGAGAAATCAATAGGGCAAGGGGGACCATTGGAGTTTATAATTTGTGGCGGGCTTTACAAATGTACGATTTTGTTTATAGATCTTTTGTTCAACTCAGTGTACTTGATCTGGCCTCCTGACTGGTGATCCACAGTATCAAAATTAACACTAAAAAATGACTTCACAAATGATTTTGGTTCCCAGCCTCATTTGCCATGGAAGATAACTGAAGCTCGCAAGGTTAAATGGTTTGCTCACATAGTTTCTTTGTTGTCCTGAAAGTGTTCATTCAGAACACAGTGAACCTAAGGGCATGTAAGGGTAAAACTCAAAATAATATGAATGTGCAATAAACCAAAGACTATCCCATTAACCTTTTTTAGTCCATATCCTGTGGGAGGGTTACCTCTTGAAACCTGCTATGTCAGCCTTAACAAAAGGAAGCAGAAACTATTTCTTTCTCTATTTATTTCCTTTCCATGTCATGAATGAACACCAGCCCAAAGAGGTTCATTTTAACACCTTCACCCTATCATATGTACCATAATTTTCTTCAGAATGCTCATGTTTGGCTTTTTTCCCTGTGAGATAAGAACATCTCTTTTGGATGTCCAATGTTACTGGTTCTGCTACCAAGGTGATTTCTATTTCAAAGGTCTTGATCCTCAGTACTAGATCCATATTGTATTCACACCAGGGAACTTTACCAAGGATGTATCTGATATCCATATAAGGATATCCCTTCATTTTAAATTCTAATGGTGGGCATCAGTTGTCCTGAAGATTGCCCTGAAACCTAAAAACTTTGCAAATTATGAAGGGCTATACAAAGGTAGAATAATAATGTTTTATTTTCTATTTTCATTAAATACTTTTTTTTAAAGGTGAGAAACAAAGTAGAGAGACAGGCAGAAATCCCAACTGTTCTTAACTTACAAGATGGGGGTTAAGAAATACTGTATATGGTTCATAGAACAAAAAAATGGAGGATTGAATTTAGTCGCAGACAGTTCATACAGAGGTGACTAGTGAAATAATTGAGATGAGATTTATTATCATATTGAGTTAGGAAAATGAGGGCATAGTTTGAATAAGCAAAGTTGTTATCTATTATAACATGAAATCAATAGATATTATCTAAAGTTAATAAATATATAGGCATCAGCATAAGCACTATAGTGAGATATATGGAGTTATTCAGCATAATAATTAAACCAGAACTGAAACTGTTAAAAGTGGGAAGTAAGATTCCGAGTTGGGGGTAAGGCAGGAATTGTTCTATACTTTGACGGTTTTAGTTATATGCATGTATTATTTTGAATGCACAAATAAACACTAAAAAATGTACTCTTTTCTCTCTCAGGTGACATGCAACATAATGATACACTATACATATATACTATATGTATATACTATATACTACATGTATGAGGACAGCTATGTGTCCTCAGTATGTATTAGTCATTTACTTCATTGGTTGTTTGATTCTCTAGCTGAAAGGATGAATAAATGAATAATTGAATACATGATAGAATGTGTAATAATGATGATGATCATCATCACTTTCAATCTGCACCTCCCACACACACGCCCCTACTACCACCAGGGTGTAAAAAAGCCAGACCCATAGGTAGCTGGGGTACAACTACTTGACATTGAACACTGGCACCAATCAGTCCACTCAGTGGATTATTCACATGAAGATTGTCAACTATTAATGGTTGAATTTCATAAAATAGGCTGGAAGGACAATGTTTGGAAAATAATATTTCTATGCAATTTGGGGTCTTGATTTTACTACAATTATTCCAAATGTTGACTGCTGAGTCTTACTACAGTTTACTAAAGGATTTGAATGTTCTAGGATTCAGAAATAAGAACAATAATCACCTCTATTTCAGAAAAGTCATTTTATAAAAAATGAATAAAAGCATATGAAAATCAATCTGAAATAAAAAGAAATCCTTTAACAGACTCTTATAATAAAGAACAAAGATTTTTTTTGGTTACCATAGCAGCAGTGATTTTTAAATACTATTCATACAAATTTCAGCATTATAGTAATCAGTGTTTCCTATTGTGCCTCAAAATATTAAAAGTAACACACAACGTTACAAGCTTAGATCGCCATTTAAATTTAAATATTAAGAAATGTTATGAAGCTAAAATTAATTTATATATTCTGTGGATAATATTTGATGTGGGATATTTATTATAGAAGCAGCCATTTCACCATTAACATGAAATAACATAGGTAACCTGCACTTAACTTTCAAACCTGCTGTGATTAGGCATGGGGAATAGTGAAGGAGGGTGACAGAGTGTGTAAAATTCAATTTGTCACCAACTGAACTTACAGCATTTATACTGACTGCAAGCCAGACCAGAGGAGTTATAGCAACTGCATAGTTCTTACAATCTTTTCCCAAAGTTCAATTAAAACTCATCGTCAAGAGAGCAGGAAATAAAAAACTAATAGAACTGACTTTATCTTTTGGCTTTAGGGGGTATAAGAATGCCCCTGTATGGAACACAAAAGATTGATGAAATACTAAAAGAAAGAAAATGATAAAATAGGACATGAAAATCATATCTTTATAGTTGAGAGAAAAAGAAAAAGTAGCCAGAATTGGCATTGTGTATTTACCCTACTCGAGGGGGAATCATACATCTGGCCAAGGCTAAAGGAATTTTTAAATTCTGAATAAAAGTAAGGATGAGGGGAGCCTCTTTTTGCTGATTTCTATTTTCTATCTGCAAGAACTTCCAGTACAATGATACCTTGGCCTTATGACTCTCCAAGATTGAGTTATTTCAATATCGGGTGACATTCGTGGATCCACATTTCCTGACTGGCTGGAACTAATCTATTTAAAATTTGCTAGCTATAGGAATTTATTTTTTCCTCATCTTGAACAGCATAAAGCTATAATTCTAGGTAAGTGTACACATTCTATAGATTTAAACTTTCTATTATGTGGTCAGTCCCAAGGTCTAGTCACCAGGAACAGAGGGAATTGGAGGGAGATAGAAGGGACAGAAAGTGTTAGCATGTCCTTCTAGTCACAGTTCTATAGCTCCATTCTTTAGTTGGCATTATTGCTAATACTAAAATCACCATCTCATATCAGAAGAGACAGAGGAGATATCTGTCTTTGTGTCTTGTGTCTTAATTGAATTAGAATTTAGAAGGGGAACAAAAAGGTATTATGTATTGACCCTCCAAGTCCCAAAAAGGAAGCTTCTATGACTATTTTGTTATGTAAATAGATGCATAAATGAGATACCCTGTGAGAAAACATACATAATAAACTCCCACAGTTCAGACTTCAGATTAAGAAGGGGACTAGAGTGTTATTTGTGCCTTTAGAATAGTACATTAGGAAATTTATGTACTTGCTTGTATAAATTTGGATGAGACATTAAAATCTAGGTTATAATAAAACACTCATTCCCGCTAAGTTTAAAAGTCCATGTCTGTGTGTGCTGGAAGAGCTGAAACACTGTGAATATGAATACGGTCACCATAACCAATTCATAGATGGAAAAATCAAATCAATTGCTAGAGCCTGAAATGAACAGCTATTGTCGTAGCTCTCTACTCTCTTAGCTAATTCCGTCCCAGTCTTTGAAACTTTGAGTGTAAAGAAGACTTTCTTCTTAGCTGTATTGAACAGGACAAAGCTGCTACATTTTCTGGATTATTTAAACCCCAAAGGCTTTATTTTACTGTAAAAATATTCTGCAAACAACCCCCACTGAAAGGGATTTGGTTAAGAGCAGCCCAGAACTATACTGTTTGACCACAGCAATATTTGCTTTGTTCAAGCAAGGGAGTGTCCAACAGGGTTCTTCAGGTGTCAGGCTTACACAGAACAATGATTTATCTTTAAGAAACCCATATTGGGAGGCCGAGGCAGGCGGATCACCAGGTCAGGAGACAGAGACCACCCTGGCTAACACGGTGAAACCCCGTCTCTACTAAAAAAATACAAAAAATTAGCCGGGCATGGTGGTGGGTGCCGTGGCGGGCGCCCGTAGTCCCAGCTACTCGGGAGGCTGAGGCCAGAGAATGGCGTTAACCCGGGAGGCAGAGCTTGCAGTGAGCCCAGATTGCGCCACTGCACGCCAGCCTGGGCGACAGAGCGTGACTCTGTCTCAAAAAAAAAAAAAAAAAAAAAAAAAAAAAGAAACCCATAAAGGTCTACTGAGGCTCTACTCCTATGGGTAATACATTATACCCAGAATTGTGGGAAATTCAAAGTTGAAGGCATAACCCTTACGCCATGGAGGACCTTGGAATCTGCAACCATGAAAGAACATGGAAAAATAGTCCAAATTTGTTATTACATAAACAAGAAGGCAGTCCTGTGGAACTTAAATGACAAGCCCCAGATCATAGTTTTAGGGGCTGATCTAAATTAAAAACAACATGTTCTGAATGTCCTCATAGGATTCTTTTCCTCGTATCTCTTGCCTATCTTTGAAGAAGTAAAAAGTATGGAAAGAAATATGTCAGGATTCTGAGCATCAAGGACTGTGCTTCTTAATTTTCTATGGAGTCTACAAACAAAACAAAATGTTGTGACTAGGTTTCTTGTGGATCCCAGTGAAGGGAATGAATCCTGTATTTAAATTGAAAACAGGTGAAAGAGAGATTGGCTATATAGATAGAAGATGTAGAGGTGAAGAAAACTAAGAAAATAAATCCATGGGAATTATTAATAATCTTCAAAAGGGGTCACTGAAATCTTGGAGAGACCATTGAACTTTTCCAGGATTGGATATTATTGGGGTGGTCAAAGAAATTCACCCTAGATAACAAAGGATAGTGAGATCCCTAGCTGACATCAGAGGTATGACATCACCTTGTCTTCTAAAGAAAATACTGTATGATTATTTAAAAACATAAACTTTCTTTGATACATGAAACCTTTATGTTATCCCTTTGGAAACAAAATGACATTTTTTCTTGTACAGGTGATAATATATGATACCATATTTTCTATTGACTTGACATACTGTACCTAAAATTTAAATGCCAAGTTTGGGGTTGAATATATACCATCCTACATTTCAATCCATTTACCTTATTTTTGTCAGTCTTATCCTGGAAATGTCTTTCTGGATAGACTGAGAAAAACAAAACAAAACATGGGGTGATTTGAAGACACTAAAAAATTGATAAAAGTCAACTAACTTTTCTGTACATTGGTTTATTTGTATGTAATAAAAATAAAATAGGTGAAAATTATTTTTTAGGAAATAAATATTCATCCTTTGCACTTATAGGATGAGTGAAAAAACACAGTATTTTAGTTTTGCTCATGTTTTCTAATTTTATCTTCATTATATTTCTTCAGTGATACCCTGTTGACCAACACCCTTTCTCCTCTTCCAGAATCCACTAATTCTGTAGTCATACCAGCTTTCCTGCTTCTTGGCTCTATCTCCTTTATCTTCCTTATGCATGGCATCTCTGGCAGCCAAATAATCTTCCAAAAGGCATGCTTCTTCAACAATTCCTCAACGTATGTTCTGTTTCTCTTTATCATTCATCTAGGTGTCTGTCTATCTATCTATAAATCCATCTAGCTATCCATTGTGCTTTTGTTGCAGACACAGATACCTAAAATATAATACAACAATTGACTTACTCTCTCTTGGAAGCTAAAGAAACCTTCTGTCTAATTCTTCTCTTCTGGTTCCAACAGAAATCCCTGCAGAGCCACGGACAGAAGGGAGAGACCCTCCTTCTGTTTCCCTCTCTAGTTTTCTGCCCAAAATCATGCCCAGTTTTAGCAAGTAAATCATGGACTTAAAACCAGCAGCTTTATATTTGCTGGCTCCACATGTCTGAATGCATTTGAGAGATGTATGTGTTCAGAAGGGGGAAAAAAAAAACTGGGAGTTAGGAGGCTTTTCTCTGATTTCTGGAGTTTGCTGGAGAAGGGGAGGAGGAGGAGAAAGCACAGAGATACCAAGGATCTTGGACAATATTGTTCAGTAGAAAATGTATTTCTGTGGTCTCTTATCAATCTATAAAGATGTAGTCATTAATCTGTGACATAGGGAGAAAAATAGCTCCATAGAATTGTTTCCTTATCTATCAAAGTATGTTATATATGTTTTGAGAACTAATTTCAAGGCACAGTTTCACTTTATTTTCTATTCTTTTTCTTGTTGGAGACAGAAATAATTTTCAAGTTGGGCTTAATTAAGCACTTACAATTTTTGAATTCACACGAGCCTATCTAGAGATACTGGTTTATTTCCCGTTATATTTAGAGTTTCTGCTTCTGTGCCAGGTCCTTATAGCAAGCAGAAGGAACAGACACAATCTATCTTTGTAGAGGTTTTCAAAATTGAGCAATGTATACCCTTACATGTGGGTATTTGCCAAACACTTAAGGACTTATGAAGAAAGGGGTGTGGGGAGTGGGAAAGAGAATGGAACCAAAATTTTAAAAAAGATATATTTTTGGCCAGCAGAAATGATAGAGTAACATAGCCTTATGCAAATGTCTCAGAGCACAGAGTCTTTTTAAGCAATGAGCTGAAAGTTGTTTTTTGTCTTCACCATTTAAGTATTCTGCCCTTTCAATGTCCCTAGACAATGACCACCCACAAGACCTTGAACTGGGGAATTGGGAGAAGTAGAAACGACATGACTGAATTCTTCCAAAACAGCTGTGGGTAGGAGAAGGATTACTATTGACATGCTAAAAGGTCACTGATGTATAATCTGAGACAGGTAGAGCCTAAAGGAGACAGAGTCTCACGTACTGGAAACAGGATTGATGGAGAGTAAATTCTTAGCAAATATTACGAAAACACTGTCAAAAGATTCTGCAGAACCACACGAACATGGTCACTCTTTCAATATCCACTGACTGACTGAGAAAGTACACAATGACAAAAAGTCACTATGCCTTCAGAAATACTTTTAATTAATCTGAATTGTGCTCATTGTAAAATGTACTTACACTGAGAATAATAGCAATACAAATATAAATTAGGCTTGCTCTTTATTCTACGTACAGAAGTTTCTGGGTATATAGATGGTTTCGAGACTCTGAAATATTTATCTGGCTCTCCAGGTTTCAGAATCACTGGACCATTAGACCACATCAGCACTGGACCCAGCTAAAGGGCAGAGATTCAGAGATCCCCAACTGTGACTAGTTGTGCAAGAAGCATGCAGAATGATGAGAAACCTACAGCTCAGAAAAGAAACAAATCGTCTATATGGAAGTCCAGTCTTGCTGTGGAAAGGCTCAGAAAAACAAGACCCTTAGCATATCTCAGGGAACTGAAAGGCTGTGGGGAAACCAACAGCTTGCTGCAACCACAGCCACAAGTCAGGTAAGCATTGAGCCTGACAGCTCAGGAAAATGACCCACTTCTTGCCAACTCAGACAAAAAGGCTTCACTTAGGCCTAGGGAAACTGTCTCTAATAAGGCCATCTGTTAACCGTGTCGCCTGAGTCCCTCTCAGCAATTCCTCATTCCCTCCCTTTCCACCTTCCACCCTGAAGCCAGACATTAAGGCAGCAGAGACTGAGTAAAATCAAGCTGTTGGGCTCAGTAAACATTACTGAGCTCCATGAGGGAACACGGTCCCATTTTTTAGGTTCCCATGTCCAAGGCACATTTTGATCACATTCATTTAGCAGAGAGGTGAAGGAAGAAAGCATGCTGGCTGTGCAGCAGCATCGTGCTGCATCCCCTTGCTTAGGCAAAGTCATAACAGACAGCAAAAAATAAGAACTTGGCTACAGTTCCCAAGGGTTTGAACCTGAATACACAGAACACGAGAAACCACACAACTCAGGAAGAAAGCACTGGGCAAGTGTTCAGAGGCCTTATTGACAATGGGCCCGCTCTCCTATTGACTTGATTTGTAACACATAAAGTCACTTAAATCAGGGGTCCCCAGCCCCATACTGGTCTGTGCCCTGTTAGGAACCCAGCTGCACAGCAGGAGGTAAGGGGCAGGCCTGAGCTCCACCTCCTGTCAGATCAGCAGCAGCATTAGATCCTCATAGGAGCGTGAACCCTTTTGTGAACTGCGCATATGAAGGATCTAGGTTGCATGCTTCTTATGAGAATCTAACTAATACCTGATGATCTGAGACTCTAACTAATACTTGATGATCTGAAGTTTCATCCCAAAACCACTCCCCCTACCCCAGTTTGTGGAAAAATCGCCTTCTATGAAACCAGCCCCTGGTGCCAAAAAGTTTGGGGATGGCTGACTTAAACTTCTAGCAATGATCTGTCAAGTCTCTTCATCTCATCACATAAGTCGGCATGTAATATTCACAAAAGACCAATCCAACCTCTGAAAACGAAATGCTCATTTTGGGGAAGTGACTTAACTCTTCCAGCTCATCTCTGTCCCTCTTAATAAAAAAGGAAAAATAAAAATAAATATAATAAATATTATTTTTAATACGTGGTTATTCAGTCTCAGAATATTATTGTACCTTAAAATGAAAAAAGCTAATATATTGAGTATCTTTTTCACATACTTTGGGAATTAAAATAACATCTTTAATATTTGGAAATGAAAGGGAAGAAAGAAAATTTGATATCAACTATAACCAGGATCATTTTAGTGTAAATATGTCAATGGAAATGAAAATCCAAAAATAGAAATATGCAATAAAAAGCTACACCCGTATGTCTCACCTAAAGTATTTTACCAAGGCTGAAGAGTAGATCATTAAATTACTTGTAGGCTACAGCTGAAAATATGACCCTCTGACAACCAAACTTATTGTTAATACAACTGACACTGAATTTAGGAGAAAGATTAATTCAACCCTCTGTACCTGACATCCAAAAAGCAAACAAACAAAAATAAATAAAACAAAATCAATAATGAAGACTTAGAACACTTATAATCAAGGAAGATGATAGAAGATTGTAGCAATAACATGTTTTAATGTTCTTTATCTGAAAAACAGGTAGACTGTTTGCTGATTTCCAAGACTATACATCTTTCCCAAAACGGTTTCTTGAGAAAGCTGTCCACCCTGAAGGGAGTAGGAGATATTTTCAATAATGGCCTAAAATTTATGCATTTCATTGGATTGAGTCACTGGAGATATAACTGGGCCCCATTTCTCATGCATATATTCATGGTAAAATGTACTCCTGCCAAACCATGGGAAATTAAGGCTTCAGAAGGTGAATAAAGAAACTTAGAATACAAGTATAAAATTATGAGTTTAAAACTTATAAAGATAATAGTTTTTTTCTATAGATAGAGCAAGCAAGATATTTTCTTGACACAAATCTATCATGACAGAACTGGCAATCTAATCTTAATCGCTCCTCCCAGTGAAAGAGTAAACAAAAATGGTTGATTGCAGCTGTGTGGACGTGGTAAAAATTCACCCACATTTCCATCACCCAGAGCAGCTCTGCTAGGCAAGAATAGGTACACACTCTAGCTCAGGTCCTTTTTTGTAACAGACACTGCTCAATGGCTCCAAATATTAAATCAATACTCATTTACTGTAGAGACCATGGCAATCTGTCAAGAAGGAAGAAGCTGTTCTGAAATGAAGGCACTGATAATTGTGACCCAATAATGCAATAGAAAAGATCCACTTGTTATGGTAATCACCAGTGGCATTCTAAATAATGTGTTCAGTTTATTTATTGCAGTACATTTTCAGAGAATGTTGCTTTCCAAGTAAGCATGCCTGGGGTGGCTCTAGGCAAAATTGTATATAAGTAACTAACTTTTTTCCCCCATGACTCACTGTCGCTCTGTAAATATGCTCATTTTACCTGTTTCTCTTTTCATTCCCTAGTTCTCAGCCTTCATCTTTCTAAGCCCATAAATTGTTGTTTTTCCAACAGTTACTTAGAACGGTAATCACCTCTAAAAACTCCACCCCCTATGACACAATTTATAGAAAGACCTCCATTCTGCTAACTTTCTAAAACAGGAAGAACAGCACATCAATGATTAATGCATTGTCTGACACATAGGAGGTAGTTCATAACTTTTTGTAGACTGTTGTTGAATAAATACCTTTCACTAGAAATATGAGTCGTATTTGATTTAGTCCAGATGGCTATGGTGTTTTATCACGTGTTTGCTTTAGTAAAACATAACAGTCATTCAAAGTTACAGATCTGTTTTCTTTGAAAACCATTCTCCTATAATGGCATTTGTGCATGGAACACAGTAGAAGACAAATAACATGATGTGATTTCAAAAAAATATTGGGATGGATGATGGTTGGATGGACAGCTGATATCACTCAGGGTGAAAGCTGACATTTTAGTAGCACTGATCTCCCAATGATTCCATTAGGATATACAAAATAGGAAGGACTAGCCTGTAAGTTAGTCATATACATTTTTGTCAGCCTATAAAATAAATATATCCCTTTTCAAAAACAGAGAATCTATAATTTTAAACTACTTTGACATTTGCCATCAGTGATTCTAAGTTCTAAATTACACATATCCTGAGTATTTTTATTTTAATTAATTTTTTTTTGAACTATGAAATTAATGTGCACCCATGAATGCCAAAAAAATGAAATAGCAAGAGAGGGCTTCTCAATCTCAGGCAAAGGCCTGGCTTCATCAGCAAAGAGGGTAAATAGTAACCGAAATGTCAAGTTGTCTCTGGCTTAAATTAAGCAAACAACAGAAGTCTTTCTTACTTCCTATAGAAGATATTTGGGAGAAATAAAGATTTTTTTTAGAAAATTGCCATACACCATTAGAGTTTAGAAGTGAAATTAAAGATGAACATCATTTTGCTTACTTCGGATTGTAAACATTGAAGAAGTAGACTTTAAAAGGACTGGCTAACTTGGTGCCAAATAATTGAATGTGTGGCTATGAATACAGAAATGTTGGCATATAGGCATTACATAAGTAATCTCAAATAATTTTTTTCTATTCTTTTTTTGGATTGAAATTCAGTGTCTAGTATCTCTGAGATGAAAACAAATAAAGCTAGAGAAAAATGCTATTTTGACTCTCCTTGAATTTGAAGAGCACTGAGTTATTCCACACTGGTAAAAACTATGTCAACAGATATTCACCAACATCTCAGTGATTTAGGGCATCTTCATGATCTGAACATGGCCCAGAGTAAGTGCTTGTGAAGTGTACAGAGAGGTTAATCAAAAATGTTACAGTCACTAACCCTGCGAGCGAATAATCAGTACGTGCGGATTGGCACGGGCATACTCGGAGCACAACAGATTTAACAACTGGATGCGCAGAACAATCATCTTTTACATGGTGTGTGATATTTGGGTTGTTATCCCTTATATCATTGTGAAAAGCAAGTGTGAACTGATGGAACTGTTAAAGCAGCCAAAAGAACTTCAGGAACAGAATCACTTAAATAACGTGGCTGGTGTAATGCCTATGGAGGAGTGTGATAAGGGGTCAGAGTAGATATAAAACCTCCCAAGAATCATCCTGAAGGGGTAATAAATGATTTTTACGTTACTGAACGTGACATGGTTAATGGTATGTATATTCTCTCATGTGCTAACTCAACTTGGTCTGCTTACTTGGTAAGACGTTCTCTGCAGTTCAACAAAGATACTTAGCTATCGCTATGTGCCACATGTTGAGGACCAATAAGTAAAATTGTGTGCCCTCAAGGAGTTAAGAGTTAATTAGAGGGAAAGCAGGCATGAAAAAGATTTAATCCAATATGCTTATAATCATAAAAAAATGAATAAGATACAGGAATATTATATAGAGAGGCGGAAATATGTAAAGATATTGGGCTTGGGTTTGAAGGGGAAGTTCATGATCAGGAGGTTTCCCTTAGTAGGTGAAAGCCAGAAAGACATTCAGACATGACGAAGAAGCTGTTTCGGACAAAGGAAACTACAGGGAAAACCTTTTGAAACAACATGGTGGCTACGAGGAAACATGTGAGCCAGATCTGCTGAAGTTCAAAGTATGAAGGATGAGTGAGGATAAGGGTGCAGAGACATGGGAAAGGAAACAACTGAGCTGGGAAGCGTGGGTCAGGATGACACATGTATTCATCCCAAATGAAGACAAAATAAAGGATTTCAAGCAGGTGCATGGAAAGTCAGATGTATATTTGACTTTCCAGGAAGAAAGATTTCTCTAGCAGCAGTTAGGGAAAATTAATTTTGGGGTATGGAGAACATCAAGAATACTATCATAATAGCCCCAGTGCCTGCTGATGTGCACTTAAACTAAGGCCATGGTGCTGACGGTATCACAGTGAATACACATGTGATGCTGAAGTAGATTGAACAGAAATTTATGCCAGGATCCTATTGGTGGGGAAGATGGAGGATGGAAAGGTGGAAAGGAAGGAGAAGAGTTACTTTTGTGTTTCTGAGTGATTTCCTCATGGAAGAAAAGGACGAAAGTCAGAAGCTGAGTGACAGAATCCAGAATGAAAAGGGAGATAAGTCAAAATACACTACTAAAGGTGTTTTTAAGACTTCCAGATGGTACCAGATATCCAGTGCTACTTATAGCAAGTTTGTCTTTTAAAGAAAGATCAAGAACAGGCAGCCTTCTTGTTTGAGTGCATAGCTCCAATATCCTTCCCTATTCCCAGAGAAATACAAATGGGGATGCACCTTGCACATAATTCTACTATAGTTCCCTCATAATATGTCCTACTTACAGTTTATTGTATTTATTGGAACAGCTGGTAGATTTCATTTTAAGATCAGCTAATTTACACAACTGGGTCAAGAAAAGAGAATAGAAATGAGCAAGAGGACAGCCATAAACCTGGTACAGTTCTAAAATCTAGGACTAAAATACTGTATGGTTTATTCTATCCCAACTTAGTTCATCTTGAATAAAGAGGCCCAGGAAAACCCAGATTCTGAGGCAAGATGCCCTTGAACCAAATAGAATCTGACTCAAACAAAAATGACAACCTCTAGTCTCATTTTCCATTTCTACTGTAATCCTTCATCTCCTTCAAATACTTTAAAATAAAGTATGCGCCAGCTTGCACGAAAAAAAAATACAGAAAGTATGTGCCAGCTTGCATGAAAAAAATACAGAAAGAAAATAAATAACATTGATATGAAAGTGCAAATATCAAAACACAAAAAAATTTCTTAATTCTACCAAAATTATATTATTTGTATTAATCACAATTCTATATCCATTTCCAAATTGCACTCATAATATTTTGTAATAGTATGTTGAAAAACAAACAGAATTATTTACACTAGAGAAGATAATAGAAAAAAAAGGACTTTCCAAGAGAAACCTATATTACAATAGATTGAAGTGTGACACAAATAAGAAACTTCTCTCATTCCCCAGTCTGAGATAATCTGAACTTCTTCAGAATAATATTTTATCTCTGCCTCTTGTAATGAAATTATTTCAGTGCTTTTTTTTTTTTTTTACTATATAATCACTTTATCTTCAGTTGCTTTTTTGAATTTGTACTGTGTGCCCAGTACATTTCTAAGCTTCAATGTGAAGCTAATATCTCCTATAGCATAGTTAATGTTTATTCAACAAATATTCATGAAAGGCTATCACGTACCAGGAATTGTGCTAGACCCTAAAGAAAGAATGGTATATAAAAGTAGGTACAATCTTTGTCCTCAAATAGGTTGAAGTTTGGGGTGGGATGAGAGAGTGAAGGAATTATTCTTAAATAGAAGGTAGCACATTCTCCTTCTTCCCATTGTAATAGGAAGTGGAGGATGAAAGGGTGAATAAAAGTGTAGTCAGATTAGAATGTTTAGAGTCAGGCAGTGGAGAATATTCCTGTATGCAAAATTCTACAAAGGATAGTCATTTACTGAGAGAGCTGGAGAGAGCAGATCAGAATATTTTATTCATGTCTGTATTCTTGGCAACATGTAACACAATTCTTAGTGCATACCTAGTGTTTCTGAAATTTTGATCATATAGATGGCTTGTAATGGGAATGACGGAGTGAAGAATTGAATGAAGGATTCTTACACTTGTACTTAGAGGGCCTGATGCTGGTAAAAAGTTAATGAAGGGTTCAGAAAATGTTAGTTCTTTAACCTGAGTGCCATCTCATCCCTGGGCTTAGTGGAATAAACGTCCACAAGATTTTGCTGTCCAGATTCCACAGCTGCAGGGAAAAGAGATGAGTTGGAAAAGAGAACTATAAAACAAAAGTCATAATACACAATAATAGAATCACTGTTTTCTGCATGTCTCTTGTTCTATTTTCTGAAAGCAGGAACATTTTGAGTGAAAACAGGTTTTATGTCCCAGCAATAAAGGGGTATAACTATAAAAATATATGTCATATCAGCAGGCATGTCTCTAAATAGAATGTTTTACCAAGTTTCCCAAGAGTCGTCTGAGGCCCTTTAAATTATAGGGTATATGAGCTTCCCTGCAGGGCAGCCTTTGAACTACAACTCATTGTCAATCTAAAGTAAGAGTGGGAAATGAACCTTTGGAAATGAAGGGTATGTGTTCTTTGCTCAGCATTTCCAGGTTTGTTCCTTAAAATGGATGCCATCACTAAGCAAGAAAAGAGATATATAATCGGTATGGGTGAAGTGAAGCTTAATACTTTAAATTGCATTTAGTTAGAAAAAAGTTTCACATTTTAACCTAAACCTTTGCATTCTCTTTGCCAAATTTGACTCAGGGCAAAGCAATCAAAAGCTGCCAGCAGTCACTTAAATGGACAGAACACTATAATAAGTAATTTAGAAGAGCAGATAATCCAAAGTTCACCTCTATTTGGGTTTGTAATAACATTTTCAGCTGATTTACTTTTTAAATTATTTTTAGGTTAATATTAAAACTAATTTGCAATACTTTAAAATAACATACTAACTGGGTACCAGAGGCCTAGAAATATTCAAGACTCTAAATGGAGCCAACTTGGGTTGTTCAACATGCTGGGTACAATTCTCAAAGCATATAATCCAAAATAGAGTGCATTTAGTATGTGCTTTTGCTTTCTCTGACTGCTCTTATTCTTGGTGATAGAACCAAGAAAATCTCCTGGTGCTTTCTCCTTTAGATTGGGCCTGTTGAGGAAGTCCTGATACACAAAAATAGTCATGCACTATTATTCAAAATAGTAAAAGATTGGAGACAACTTAATGTCCAACAATAAAGGACTAGTTAAACAAATTATAATGCATCAATAAGATGGGTTTCTGTACCATTAAAATAGCATTTAGAGAGAATTTTAATGACTTGAGAAACAGCTTATGATATACCATAAAAAGAAAAAAATTTTCACATTATAAAATTGACTATACAGCATTATAACCACTATGTGATTAAGAGCAAAATTGCTGAAATCTGGCTGTGTACCTTTGAATTCTGCTTGTGTCAGTTATTAGATATTTGATCTAGAATAAACTTCTTAACCTCTCTGAGCCTCAATTTCCCTATTTATAAAATGCACATGATAATAATCTCTATCTCATAGTGTTGTTATGAGAATAAAGAGATGTTTAATGCATTCGTAAAATGCCTGGAACCAAATAAGCACAATAAATGGTACTATTTTTATTTGTTTTAAATCAACAGAAACTTGCTCACGCTGTTTCTTCTACCTAAAAACCTTTCCCCCTACCATCTTTTAAAATTGCCTATTAGATCCTGCTTTTCCTCTAAGATCCATCTTACATGTCATCTATACAAAGTATGAAGCTTTTGCTCAGGACAAGCTCCCTCTAGACAAAATTAATCACCCCTTCCTTTTTTGTTGTCAGAGCATTTTACAATAAACCCTTTCTCAGCATCTATGCCATAAGATATGAATCAACATGTATCTCTTTCCCCGGAGGAATGTGGAGTCCTCAAAATTAGAGGGCATGTCTTGATCTTCTCTGTATCATCACAGCCTAACAAGTGTGACAGACAATAATTGCTCAGTCTACACTGGATTAATGAATGAATGAATGCAAGGTAAATTCTGTGAATGAAGCAGGCAGAGAGGAAAGATGAGACAGCAGTTTCTTTCCCTGTGACTTCCAAAGGTTCAGGTCTACTTTTTGGCCTGGAGGAACAATATTTCCAGTCTATATTTCATGACTCCAAATTCTCAAGATTTCTATTTTCTATTTTCTTTCTATTGTCACCTGTCCTAAAACATAATACATGTCCTAACAACTGAAGCAGAGTGGAATAACAGAATAAAACATGAACTTAGGGGTTGAAAGCCCAGGTTCTATTGCTGACATTACCACTACGACCTTGAATAAATCACTTTTGAACATGTAAAATGGGCATGATAATATACTATTTCAAAGGGTTAAGTATCAAAGAATGCATGTGAGAGCATTTCAGAAAAGCAGCACACAAACGTAAGATATCATCATTAGTTCTTTTGCTGGTAAAGCTTTGCTTATTTGAAAGTCACATTTAGTAACATACATTTTACAAATTTACAGTAGCCTATAATTCTTCGACAACATTAAGGACAACTTTTCAATATTTCCCTTTGCCTCATTCTACAGCAAGGCAGTTGGAAAGATGGAGAGGTTTAAAATTGTTAAATAAAATTGTTAAATAGAGTTCCTACGGAACACAATAAAATGGGAATGTGATTCACATTAATATTTAAATATACAAACTATTCTTTGTTCTATTTATAAAGCATCAATTAGCAATTACATTAAAATGCCCACATAATTCCTATTTAGTTGACAGCATCCTTCTTCCCATTTCATAGACATGCTGAGGCACAGCTAGGTCTAAGTATATCATTGCAGATTACCAAGTATAATCTGGTAAAGGAATTAAGAATTACTTTCTAACCTAGAGCTGCACAACAGAACTTTCTGTGACAATAAAAATGTGTGATAGTCTGCACTGTTCCATATAGTAACCGTGAGCTATGTATGACTTTTTAGCCCTTGAATTGTGATTAGTGAGATTGAAGAGCTTAATTTTTAATTTAGTTTAATTTAAATCAATTTAAATTTAAATAGCTACATTTGGCTAGTGGCTACTTACTATATGAGGAAGTGACTTTCTAACCAGTCCCTGTACTCAAGAGGACCACTCCCCAGCTTTCACATGCAATCTAAATATAAACTTTGTATTTGTTTCTTAGCCAAATTAATGCTTTAAAAAGAACAAGAGTCTATTACTTCATGATGTGAAAGACAACTCCACACAAACCGCTGGCCATGGCCAATGTCTTTTCTCCATGGGAAGAACATTATAATTAGAGGTTGATTTAGGGGGCCTAGAATCAGAACAAGGAAGGTGATTGGATGATGAAAATGCTTAATGACATCTGGTTACAATAGCTGGCCAAAGACATGGACTAGTGCTATTGCTAGAACACTTAGTCTGCCAGCCAAGACTTTCCTTTGATATTGTTTTTGCAAGTATTGCTGCCCTTGTTTTTGTGACTCTTCTTTCCATGGTCAACCTTTTTTGATTGGCACATCCTTCCTTCTCTATTTCTCCAAACTCACACTTGATCTGCACTGGCAGAGAGAAAGGTTTGTCTCATCTCTTTGGATTTGATTCCTCATAACTCTCAGTCCAACACACATTTCCCCTTTTATCTACTGCAGAAATGCTAGGAAGCCACAAAAGAGAAAGAATATTTATTTTAACCCTTCTGATAAGGAAGGAACTCAATCTATCTGGGAACAGACGTTCCTTCTTTTCCTTCAGACATACCATCAAGAGCATCTTAAGGTCAGACTGTAAAATATCTTTATCTTTTCAAGGCAGTTTTTGCTCATATTATAATCAAGGACAAGAGAAGTCACACAACTCTGGCAATGCAAGTCCTTGCAGCAGCAGGTGAGAGTGAAACTTTTAGCTACTAAAACTGCTCTTGCAAAACTAAGTCAGGTTCTGGAAGGTGCCGATTCTCAGTCAAGATGAGATCCTTGGCTTCTCAATTTGGTGTATGAGTGATTTTGATATTCATTAAATTGACTGACAGAGTGAGGCACAGGCAACCTTTACCTACTCACCAGCTGTCCAGTCCTGAAATGTTCTGGACTATTTTGATCCTTTAGGCTTTCTGTATATACAGCTATTCAGATGCAGACCTTAAATCTGCCCAGAAAGATTCTTAATTATTCCAGAGCTGGCCTTTGAAGTTGTGATTCTATATTTACTAAATGATGAGTAAGTCTCCCAACGAAAGAAAAATTTCTCAAGGCAATTGGGTTCCTAATAAATGATGCCTAAAGATCTTAATGTCATAACTTTACACAAAATTGAGGTCACTAAGTTCAATTTCCTCTTTACATACTTGGAAAAATTTGGGTCCAGAAAAGTTAACTGACTTGACCAAGAACATAAAAATGTATCTAAACAAAATATTGATAGTTATAACTTAAAATGGTGATGATGATGGTGAGGAGGAAGATGATGATAAGTTGTTTTTTTTTTTTTTTTAAATCATGGATATGAATAGTTCACGGATAACTAGATTACCAGACTAGGTTACCTGAAAGATCATACTACGTAGTTTTATAGAGAAGTTTGTCAATTTAACGGCACATTGAAATAACAAGATCTATTCAAATTAGCAAGGGTTGAGGATCATCACTTACAGAATTAGTAGGTACTAGTCTAAAGCTACCGATGATCATTTGTAGAAATCATTATGTAATTTCTAAGACCTGGATAACCCTGAAAACCATAAAGATAACCTCAAACAGCCATTCTCAATTCCCATTCCTTCTCGTTGGAACTACTTCATCTTTTCTTATATTTACTTTCAATATTAAAGTCAGTAGTTTCAATATTAAAAACAGTAGTTCTCAAAATTGGCTGGACATTGAAATTAGTAGAGAATTTCACTTTTTTTTTCTTTTTAATTTACAAATTCCTTAGTCTCATCCAAGAGTTCTTGGTTGCAGTCTAGGAATCCATGTTTTTAATAAATTCTCCCAAGCGATTCTGATGCAGCATTTGAGAATATCATTTATACAGAACTGGAGTTATTTATACTTCTGGCTTTTCAACCACTACATTTTAAAAGCAGGAACAAGTTTTAATTTTATTCCTTTATGTATCTGTGTTTGAGCTCCATCCTTATTCTTTACAAGGTGACCTGTAGAAAGGTTTAGAACCGGACAACCAGACACATCTCAGCTTGGAGTCCAGCCCTGCCACTACGAGCTGGAGGAAATTATAAAACTTTTGAGACCTAGTTCCTCATATAATTGTACATAACTTAAGGGTTTGTTGTACAATTTAAATAAGGTGATGCACCTTGAAGGCAGCCTAAAACACTATGAGACCAGTCATTGCAGTAGTAGAGACAGTAGTATTAACAGTACCAGCAGTAGCAGTGGTAGTATTAGCAGTACTTGCTCAATAAATACCTTTTGATTTAACTAAGAAAGAAACTACATCTGTTAAGTAAGCCATTGGAATAATTTGAAGAAATAAAGCCCTGAGCAAGATGAATGCCTATATGAGGAGAAAATAGTGACAAGTCAATTTAATTTTCATCTCTGGTGGAGTGGAAAACCATACAGAAAAGGGAAAAGCAATAGATACAATCCATTGATCAATGATATTTTTGACTCAGTTCTATTTGGCATTCTTATCAAAAAGCTAGAAAAAGGTGGTATTGATCTGTGTAGCTAAAAATCTTTTGCTTCACCCTAAATTCGCATGTACTCCCACATTTTCCTCTCTTTATTCCCCTCCCCCAACAAATAAACTAACAAATAATCCATCAGGGTTGATCACAAAAGGTGTTTATATGGAGGCTGGCTGCAGATGGCAGGTGAATCGGACAAAAAGGGCTCCTTAGAAATGTTGGCTCAGCAACCCTGCCCATCTTTGGACTTCTCTTTCACCTCTCTAGAGGCTATGGCATAAAATATGGGCATTAATATTCTAAGATTCATTCTGAGCACCTTTAACAGAGTCAGACACTGTGCAGCTATTAAGATAATAGCCAGTAGCATGCTCCCCTCCTTCTCTTCCCCCTTTCCATTCTGAGTTATTTACTCTCCCCATCTTCTTTGCATTTTTAAAATAATCCATTTAATTTTTTCTTTTGTATTTTTTTTCTATCATCTATGCCTTTAACCTATTCACAATTCTCACAGGCATTTGTTAGATATGCCAGAGCATGCAGGGCTTAGCAGCTACCTACATTCCCCTCAAGAAGGGGTGCAGGTCACTAGCCTCATACCCACGCTATGGGATGTCTCTCAGGAAACTAAGGTCAACTAGAGAGCGAAAGAAGCCACCATAATACAGCAATGATGTATGCAATGAAAACAAGAGAATAATGTTTTCATTCAAATGTTCCAAAAAATCCAATATTTGTCTTTGCAAGTGTGTGTGTATGTGTGTTTCTGTGTGTGTGTGTCTTCATCTGTAGACACATATCTTACTCACAAAATGCATGCATTCCACTCATGACATTGCTCTCCAACAAAATTTTTATCTAAAATGTCATTCCTCACCTTATTTTTCAGTGATGGTCTTAGTCAATGTTAAGGACGCAGTTGCACAAATATAGATCCTAAGTTCTTTGGAACAAAAACATTCTGATGAAGACCCCATAGCACAAAAACACCTTTATGAATATTTTTATTTCTAAAAATCTCAGAAGCACTCTTAAACCTCTTGCTTTGCTTAACCCATGAAGGCCTGGTTATGGAGACAACATACTATTCCATGACTTTCTAATTTGTCCTTCAATTAATCACCACAGCTCTGCAACACTCGGCAGTACTCTGTTGGAGTCACAGGAAACAAAATGTGCCCTTCTGCTGATGAAACTTTGCTGTCTGTGGAGGTATTTTAGCCTGCTGCCTGGATAATTACATGTGTAACTCACATTAGCAATACAGAGTGACTGGAGGCGGATGCACCCAGCAAGGCCACATGGGACCCCGTATGGATGTGATGGCCCCTTGCCATCATGGGTCACTGAAGGGCAGCTGCAATAACCCTCATCCAGTTCTGCCCTCTCAATAATCTCTGGCACTGCCTGTGTTTTCTCTTATTCAAGTGAGGGCAAGCACCTTCTAGTCCACAGGGGTTGGGCACAGACTGAGACACGAAGTCATGTGCCTTAGAAAGGTCAAGGTTGGTTCATAGGCCTCTTAGAGCAAAGAAGGGCAGGAGAGAAAGAAAAACTAGCATTTATTGAAAACTTAGAATGTGGTCAGGCACAGTGGCCCACACCTATCATCCCAGTACTTTGGGAGGCCAAGGTGGGTGGATCACCTGAGGTCAGGTGTTTGAGACCAGCCTGGCCAGCATGGTGAAACCCTGTCTGTACTAAAAATACAAAAATTAGCCAGGTGTGGTGGTGTGCACCTGTAATCCCAGCTACCTGGGAGGCTGAGGCAGGAGAATTGCTTGAACCTGGAAGGCAGAGATTGCAGTGAGCCGAGATCACACCATTGCACTCCAGCCTGGGCTACAGAGTGAAACTCAGTCTCAAAAACAAAAAACAAAATTGGACTGTACGAAGTCTTGTGTGAAGCACTTTCCCACAGCTGTATAACATAATTCTCACAATAATACAGTAAAAGAATGCAGTTACTATTTTACACATAAAGAAATGTGGTACAGAGAAGTTAAGATAATTGCTTAAGATTGCTCAGCTAGTTTGTAGCCAACCTAGAACTAGAGATTCAGTGTCCTAGTTCCTAACCCAATGTATTTAAGAACTCAGGCTCCAGAAATAGATTGAGTCCAACATCTAATAATTATATAACCTGGATAATTTTCTTACCCTCTCTATACATCAGATCGCTAATTTGCGAAACTGAATTCATAATAGTGCCAACTTCATAGAATTGTTATGAAGGTGAATCCATGTAAAATCCTTAGGACAATGCTTAGAAACATGGCAAAAGATTTCAAGAAACTCCTGGTAGAACTCATAGGCTGGTGGGAAAGACAGATGCATAAACAGATTAATTAAAGGACAAACCTGCCAAACACTTTTCAGTAACGTTAAAAAGAAAATGGCGTGAGATCTCACAGGAGAATTTACTTAGCATCCCCCATCCTGTAAAATGTGAAATAAGCCCATCTGAATGAAAGGAAAATAAAATTCACAATGGTGTTTGTGGAAACTGGCTATGTCAGAATATAGTTATGGGTTTAACTGATAAAGACAGATAAGGTAGTTCCAGGAATCATGTTTTACTTAGAGCTCCCCTGCCTGCGTCTGGAAGCCCTTTGAGGTTGCTGTACTGCGTGCTTAGCTGGAC
Organism: Homo sapiens; assembly: GCF_000001405.40. Taxonomy (NCBI): domain Eukaryota; kingdom Metazoa; phylum Chordata; class Mammalia; order Primates; family Hominidae; genus Homo; species Homo sapiens. Next base: position 116,314,734 of record NC_000003.12, read on the forward strand.
CATTAGTGCTGCTATTTTTAGAGCTGTCAACATCTATATAAAACTGAACTCATCCAAAAAGACCATATATAGGTTCTAAGAATGAAACATTTTTCTCTTACAAAAAGAATAAAGACCCCCACTATTCCCAGGAATGAGAATGCAATATCAATTCTTGGGGGTTTTTTTGTTTAATAAACAATGATAATGTTTAAGCACTGTATATTGAATAAAAACATCATTGGCCCTGAAATAGAATGACCCTCAATTTCAAAACAGAATGTCCCTTCAGTTTGGCAAATCACCTCAATTTTCAGGTTTTTGCTTCAATACTGTGCTCTGATACTACAGGATCATTACCTACCAGCTAAACTGAATGACTTTCAATTTCCCTAAACACACTTCCAGGCTTTGTAGCCTCCAGGCTTTTGCTTATTCTATCCCCTCCACCTGTATTGTTCTTACCCATATCCCAGTTTCTATCTATCAGATTCTACCTACCAAGTCTCCAAGATGCACTCAGAGGCCTACTTCTTCCTATAGCCTCTTTAAGGCATCAAAAATTTCCTCAGATGCAATAGGGGTCCAGTCTTATGTACACTGTCTTCTTCCAAATCCCCTTTGTCCTGTATTAGTTCTAGATACCCTCTTAAATTGAGACCCACAGCATGTGGCACAATTATTTTAAATGGTGGGGAGGGAAATTTACATATCTATGTTAGAAATGGGGACAGAGTTAAATGGAAAAAAAAAGCTGTTAAACTCTTCAATCAGTCAATTTAGTATCCCCTATCTGACAAAGACCTAGAGAATTCTCCATTGATTACAGAAAGACAGTAGCCTGCCTTTAAATAATTTACGCTTTAAGAAATGACACAGCTACCCAGAGAATAGTTATTTACAAATGTAAATATAAAATAGCATCTACTATTTTTCTAAGTGTCTGCTATGTTTTAAGGACTGTTCTAAGCGATAAAGTGATATCTTTATCTACCATCTAGCTATCTACCTATCTCCTCATTTTATTCTTTCAATAACTCCAGGAGGTGTGTACTATTATTATCTCAGTTTTACTGAAGATAAAATAGAAGCATGGCACCATCACTCAATTGGTAAGTGATGGAACACTAACTCCAGAATTTGTGTCCTGGATGTACTGTCTTTGGTATATGATGAATAGTTAAATTTTGGAATTTCAACTACATGTTCAGAAACGAATGGCATTCAGAGGGAAAAAAAGTTATTGAATTCAAATGAGAATCCAAGTGTTCAAAAAGAGGGGGATTAAAACAAAAAGTACAGCTTGAATAGTTAGAGAAGGTCAAGTGTGATATTTTGGATAGAGAAAGAAATGTTAACAAAGTCACAGAAGTGAGACATCCACAATTCCTGTAGTGGGACCTAGAGAGAAACAGGTGAAAAAAGTGTATTTGATTCAGGGCCTTGACGATAAGTTGAAATGCTGAGATGTAACAACTCAAATAATTGGGAAACATCACAGGTTCTAGTGAAGCAGTAAGATACTGAATTGAAACTACTAATCATTAGTAGTTATTGGCAAGTAGGATTTCATACAACCCTATACTCTCTACAAGGCTCTGTTTGGGTATGCCTTTTAGGTTGTTTTAGGAGTTATCATTCATCAAAGTACCCTCCATGTCTAGCAAAATATCTGACAAATGGTAGGTGATTATAAGTGATTGTTGAATAAACGAACATATATGAAAAGAAAGTTGGGAGAAAAGTTAGGATAGAGCAGTATATAAAGGCAAGGAAAAGGCCGGGCGCCGTGGCTCACGCCTGTAATCCCAGAACTTTGGGAGACCGAGGCGGGTAGATCACGAGGTCAGGAGTTCGAGACCAGCCTGGCCAACATTATGAAACCCCGTCTCTACTAAAAATACAGAAATTAGCTGGGCAGGATGGCGGGTGCCTGTAATCCCAGCTACTCAGGAGGCTGAAGCAGGAGAATCGTTTGAACCCGGGAGGCAGAGGTTGCAGTGAGCTAAGACCATGCCATTGCACTCCAGCCTGGGTGAGAGGGCAAGACTCCATCTCAAAAAAAGAAAAAAAAAAAAAAAAAGAGAAAGAAAGAAAGGTAAGGAAAGTAAGAGTGCTTTAAAAATGAGGTGTCAAGCATAAAAGTTATTGCCAAAATGAAATAAAAGAGGATTAAACCTGAAAAGAGGTCACTCAATTTGGCCAGAGAGATGTTTTGGATGATTTTCAACAGTACTGTTCCAGTGATACTGAGAGGTGAAGCCAGCTGGATTTCCCGGCTTGAGTGGGGCTTTGAAGAACATTTCTGCAGCTAGCTAGAGGTTTGCAAAATGGACCCATCAGCACTCTGTAAAATGGACCAATCAGCAGGACAAGGGCAGGGACAAATAAAGGAATAAAGTTGGCCATCCCCAGCCACCAGAGGTAACCCACTCGAGTCCCCTTCCACGCTGTGGAAGCTTTGTTGTTTGGCTCTTCACAATAAATCTTGCTGCTGCTCACTGTCTAGGTTCGTGCCATCTTTAAGAGCTGTAACACTCACTGTGAAGGTCTGCTGCTCAATTCTTGAAGTCAGCCAGACCAGAACCCACTGGAAGGAACAAACTCCGGACACAATACAAAGAGAGCCCAATCTCTTTCTTTCTTTTTTTTTTTTTTTTTGAGACGGAGTCTCGCTCTGTCTCCCAGGCTGGAGCGCAGTGGCGCGATCTCGGCTCACTGCAAGCTCCACCTCCTGGGTTCACGCCATTCTCCTGCCTCAGCCTCCCGAGTAGCTGGGACTACAGGCGCCCGCCACCACGTCTGGCTAATTTTTTGTATTTTCAGTAGAGACGGAGTTTCACCGTGTTAGCTAGGATAGTCTTGATCTCCTGACCTTGTGATCCACCCTCCTTGGCCTCCCAAAGCGCTGGGATTACAGGCGTGAGCCCCCGCGCCCGGCCCCAAAGACAGCCCAATCTCATCTGCATGATGTTAAGGGGGAAACTGGGGGCAGTAGTTATAGTTCATGATTTTTGTTTTTAATTAGTAGCAAGAAAAGAGGTTTCTAAGTGAGCGATTGGATCAAAAATCCATTTAAAAGGCCAGAAGTCTCTTCATTTAACCAATTAATTCAAATGTCTTATATAAAATCAGTAATAAGGCCGGGCGCGGTGGCTCACGGCTGTAATCCCAACACTTTGGGAGGCTGAGGTAGGCGGATCACTTGAGGTCAGGAGTTCGAGACCAGCCTGGCCAACATGGTGAAACCCTATCTCTACTAAAAGTAGAAAAATTAGCCAGGCGTGGTGGTGGGTGCCTGTAATCCCAGCTACTCAGGAGGCTGAGGCAGGAAAATTGCTTGAACCCTGGAGGCGGAGGTTGCAGTGAGCCAAGATCGTGCCACTGCACTCCAGCCTGAGTGATGGAGTGAGACTCCATCTCAAAAAAAAAAAAAAAAAAAATTTTAGTAATACAACGTGCACTCTTATCTCTGATCATGGCAAAGTGTGTCATGTCTTTTAAGTTCCTTAGACAATCTACATCACATTAGTCGAAAGTTGGAGTTTAGTAATAGATTGTATGAGCCAGACATTAAGAAATTAAATCATTCATTTAAAGATTTCACAGTAAGTCACAGAGAGATGTAGCAGCTAGTGTGCTCCAGTTAGTCTCCACACCAGGAGGAGAAAAGGGTTGGGCACAACCATCTCTGATGTCCTTCCAGTCTGACATTCTCTAAGTCTACACAGAGTATATCTCCTTACTGCCATTCACTACTCAGTAAGCCTCTCACTTGTCCCAAGCCAACTGTCAGCCTGACCTTTACAAATGATCTTTAGTCATCTAATTAGCTCCAAGAGAGGTTTCTATTATCCCATGGTTACAATTTTAACTAACTTAAAATTACAAGAAAAGTTAAATAACAGAGGTAATTAAACATAACGCAGCTAGCATTCAATGTAAACATCTAATTAACACCAATACCCACATGAAGGCAAAATTCATAAAAACAAAAATCAATACAATATATTATATTTGGATACTGTAACCAAGGCCTCTTTAAGTATTTTCTCTGAAAGTAGAAGTTTTTGGATGATAAAGCTAATTAAATGCTGTAAGAGTAGTGATCCATTTGACAGAGAGAATTAAAACTATGAGAGATTTCTAACAGAAACATGAACTCCCAACCTCTATTCTATCAGGCTGACACTCTTTCCACAAGAAGCAGGAGTAGAGAATGAAAAAAATAAAAGAAGTGAAAGGCCCACTTCAAGAGCCTCAACATTTTACATTCTAAGCTAGTTATCGATGGCTTCCTTTAGTGAGGCAAAATAGTGTTGTATAGAATTGGGGGGGTGGGGATTACTGGGAGAAGTAGGGGAATAATGCAAACAGTAATTAGTAAACTGAATTCATGGATCATCAACCATTTCTCTTTAAACAGTGGTATTTATTTAATGCCACAGAAATATACTTGTTTTACCAAAAAGTCAAATGCAAATTAAACTAAATTTACTATGCTTCCTTTCCTCTATAAAAAAGTTAACAGATTAAAAAATGAGATTTTCCTGCAATTTGGGTATACATATTCCCAGTTGAAAGCAGTGTTTTGTCAGCTGTGTTGGAGTGATTAGTTTCACTACGTCAGGCATCACCCCAGATTCCCCATTCAGTAGTATCTTGTATACAGATAGTTACATGATTTCTCTTTCTATTCCGTACCTTAAATCAGCACCATCAGCATTCATATTATATACGGAAATCTAATCATACTAGCCTATGTAACACTTAGAGGGGCTTTAGTCACCTAGCTAATACATCAAACACAAACATGAATGAATAATAAATTTTTTAAATATCACCAATTTTCCCAGTTAAATAAATATATGAAAAAGAACACTAGCTGGAGAGTGTGTACATGAGAAAGAAAAGGGATGTGTGTTAAATTCTGCATATCCCTCTGGATCGGCACCTCTCTAAAGGTCAGCTCACTAGCCTCAGGTTTAATTCCCTTTCTTGCTGCTACTGTTCAGAGGTAAATGCTCGCTTTTTATTAAAAATCAAAAGCACAGGCGCTTGTAATCCTCTAGACTCAAAGTTTTTTTTTTTGTTTTTTTTTTTAATAAAAATGGAAAGTTTAGCTCAAAGCAATAGCAGCTAAAATTAGAGTGAAATCAGCAGCTGCTCCCCAGGGAAGATGGAAAACCAAACAATGGTCTGTTTTTCCCTTGACTACAATTTATGTTGTATTTTTTTCCTCCTTTAAATGTGGAAGACTTTCCAAACATTTGCATATGTTGGCAAAGCAATATATGTGTAAGCCCCCAACTCCTACTCCCATCAAAATGATGTCAGACATTAGTGTTTCAGGTAAATGTACAAGAAAACTGCTATTGCATTTTCAATGTTGCAGCCTTTGGAAATAATAACACTAATGAGGCAGGACGTGGTGGCTCACGCCTGTAATCTCAGCACTTTGGGAGGCCAAGGCGGGTGGATCACGAGGTCAGGAGTTCGAGACCAGCCTGGCCAACATGATGAAACCTCGTCTCTCCTAAAAATACAAAAATTAGCCAAGCATGGTGGCGCACACCTGTAGTCCTAGCTACTCAGGAGCCTGAGGCAGGAGAACTGCTTGAATCAAGGAGGCGTAGGTTGCAGCGAGCTGAGATCATGCCACTGCACTGCAGCCTGGGTGACAGAGCGAGGCTCTGTCTCAGAAAATAATAATAGTAATAATAATAATAATAATACCAGTTAAACTTCCCTCCATTTCTCTCTTTGTACAATTATGTCATTACATGTAACAACCGCTGTGAGACAGAAGTATTGGATTCTCCTAGGGTGTTGTACCATATAGCTGATTGTGTTGCTCAGAAATCCTGGTCAGAATGAGTTAGGAACCAAATACTAAGACAAAGCTTAGATTTAGTAATTTATTCTCACTTTTACCTGCTTTTCTCTACCCTGTCTTCTGCTTCATTCATTCACTGTCCTCTCGACATATTTAAGGATGACTTAATTTTTCTCTCCCTCTCACCATTTATAGCCCAAACCCCACCTTCATTATAATGGCAGCACTAGCACAGTGACCGGCACATCATAAGCAAGCAGTGAATGCAGTTTCATACTTGGGTAAATTTACTCGCAACATTTTATTCTTTACTTGCCTTCAGAGTATTTTCTTCCTCCCTTTAGGATCATTCTGAAATCATCTGGGCTGTGCATTTTTATTCCAACCTGCTTTGATGCAAAAGCTTCCTCCCCAAACATGTCCCTTACCCCTTTCAGTGGCCTCTTGGTGAGGGTATCTTCGCATAGAAAATATTAAAAGAAAATATCCTTCATTCTATTTATATGAGCCAGTTTAATCACTGTGAGTATATAAAGAATAGTTGCCAGGCATGGGAGCTCATACCTCTAATCCCAACAATTTAGGAGGGGTGGTAGGATCACTTGAGCCTAGGAGTTCAAGATCAGCCTGGGCAACGTGGTAAAACCCTGTCTCTACCAAAAATTTGTCTTAAAAAATAGCTGGGTTTGTGGTGCATGCCTGTGGTCCCAGCTACTTGGGAGGCTAATGTGGGAGGATTGCTTTAGCCCAGGAAGTTGAGGCTTCAGTAAGTCATGATCTTACCACTGCACTCCAGCATGGCCAACAGAGTGAAGGTCTGCCTCAAAAAAACAAAAACAAAAACAAAAAGGAAAAACAGAATAGTCATGAGAATAGTTATAATCATTACCGGATATTCACCTCTGCTTAGTGCTTACCATGTGCCAAGTAGCATATTAGGGGCTTTTCAGGCTCTTTCTCACTGAATCCACACAACATCTAGAAAGAAGTTACTATTATTCATGTTTTTTTTACGGCTGGGGAAACTGAATTGAGATGGATTAATTGTCCAAGATCATATAGCTAGCAAGTGATGAAACCTGGGTTCAAATTTAGGTACTTTACCTTTCACTCTTTCTATCAGTGCTAATGTTTTAGAGTGCCTCTCTGACACACAAACTCACACACTCATTCTTAGAACCATGAGATAAGAGAGAAAATAGCTTCTAGAACTGTCCTTCTCCTTCAAACTCAATCAATTTAGTACAGTCTGAGGCTGGTGGTGAGAAATTGTTTGGACTTTTCAGTTTGGTCCCAATTATTTTCAACATGCTTCCCTGCTCTTAAGGCTAGTTCCTTTCTAATAGTTATTCCCCCAAATACATTCATTTTATATATGGTTTAGTGATGCTTATTTCATATGTGAAATAATAACACTAGAAAATAATTTGAGGAAGACACATGATGAATACAGTAATTGTTCAAGGAAAACATGGTATTTATAGGACAATAAAAGAAATCTCTAGTTACATTGTTCACTGAAGCAAAACTATGTTATAAGGGTCATTAACCCATATGTCTTATAACATAAGCTGATCAACAGAAAGGGTCAGGAGAATACTTCCCTTGTGTGTACAGCTTGGGATACTTAGACACATCTGAGAGATTTCACATCTTTCTCACTCAGTAACATCCTACACTAGCTGCTCTAAGAACTGATAAACTGTTGGACACTTTTGGTATAGTAATTTTATGATGGAATATAAAAGTACATTTTGTTATATTATTGAAGTGGCTATAACCATTCCATTGAGTCATTACATGAAAATAGGCCTGCTTATTCAACCAGAAACATGCAGAGACTCAACCAGGAACATCCAAACATTTTTTAAAAATAGATTTTTTGGTTCTGTAAGCATGGTTATTCTTTTAAAAAAGGAAATGTTAGTGATAGATAGATTATCGGTACACAAGTCACATGCAAACACCACCCATATCTTAACATTGAGAATGTTTATTTTATGTTATATGTGGAAGCATTTTGTTTACCCAGAAGATTCAGGTCTCACATATTTGGGCAGGCAATTTTTTTTCTCTGAAATTGACTAACATTTCTTTTTGACAGATGGTAACTTTAAAAGACTTGCTGTAGGTAAACAAATCTTAAACTCCAAACTCAGGGGAATTTGCTAAACATTGGATCATATTCTTCCTATCCAAATCTTTCCATCTTTTAATCTTTATTTCTTTGTCTTCTTTTTTCTCTCCTTTTCTTCCGCCATCTTTTCCTTCCTCTTTCTCTGCTTCTCTACTTTCTTTCCTCCTTCCTTCTCTTATCCTCGCCCTTCTTTGTAAATTGTATCAAGCTAGCTAAAAGCATGGGGTTTGCATTTTCAAAACCACAAATAGAACTGAACTTACTGTGAACTGTATGTGAACAATGTGACAAAATATCTAAAATTGAGAAAGTGCCAATGAAAACTGGCTTAGTTACTGTACAGGTTAAAATCTGGTACTTGGTCATAAAGTAGGTTGATCACAAAGACTAGAGCTCCATTATAAGGATATACTTTCTAATGAATTTTTTACTCTAAATTCAGAATGAGCAGGAATTATAACAGAGCAAGGTTGCAGAAAGAGCAGGAATGTGTTAATATCTTTCTATCACAAAGATGACTTAGCTACTTTCCACAAATATCCATCCCTGAATATCCATTATTCTTCCTAGTTCCACCTTAACTGTGATTATTTCCCCTTACTTTTGCATACCTTTTTTTTCCCCCAAACTATATCTGGTCAATCATAGCATCTGTTTTCTCACAAATCCAGCTTCTTATGAGTATCAAGTCATGGGTTCTTTGCATGATTCAGCTTCAATATTCTTTTCTAACTAAACCATTTTGTGGTAAAACATCCATTCAAAGTCCAGAGCAAATCTCTTTGACCCAATTAATCATTTTTAATTGGCTGTACCCTAGTCCAGTTCATATTTTTTCAACCTCTCTATCCCTCAGATGGTTTGATAAGGATATTTCTGTACATAGATGAATTATCTTCCATCTTGGTAACTTTACTTATTTCTCTCATCAGTAAAGGTCAGAGCTGTTTGTCTCAGATTCATAGGTTCTTGGAAAAGCAGAATCTTTTTCCACCTAAGATCTAATTCTACCATCTTCTGCTGGCTCTTCCAACTAGCATGTAGGCTCAATTTCAACCTCTAATCATGGCCCTCAAAAACTTTTAGAACACATTGTCCTACTTTCTGAGCACAGACACCACTAAAATGCCTTGTTTATAGCATTCTTTCAGCTTCATTGCCCTTCTTTATGTATTGCTCATGAAGATGTAAGAACTGAAGATCCAAAACAATCTTCAACCCTTCCTTCCAAGCTTAAATTGCAATTATTCAAAAAATGATTCAATGCCTTTTGGGTTGAGACATTGTTTCTTTTCACAGAACATTAACATAGTTCAACCAAAAGAAACTATTTTTATTCATTGAGGTGACTTGGCCTTGTTAAGACCAGGAGAACCTGACTATGACAATTGACATTTGGGTAAGTGCTTTGGTATTGTTTATTTGACTAATTTTTGTGTATGTCTTGTTGGAAATTACTATTGGAAAGTAAATTGTAATTGATAATGCTTCTTTCTGAAGTTCTTAATGAATAAAAGGAATAAGTTTCTTTATAGGGACAATGCAAGAGTATTCATCTCAGAAGCAATAACAGATTTGAGGATGTTGTGATGTCTAATGCAGTCCTCACATTCTTTAGTTCTCTGTATATTAGCTGAATGTAAAACACAATGTTATGATACTATTTCTTACCTCCCTAAACATCTTACATCATCAAGCATAATAGTCATTCGTTTACTCACTTAGGAAGAACTAATTGAGGATCTACTTCTGAAAGCCGGGAATTGTGGATATAATGATTAGCAAGGACACAGAAAGACACAGTTTCTACTCCTGATCTATATAGACATTTACAGAGTGTGTAGTGATAAAACGTTTCATTAATACTAGAGTCATAATCTATTCATTCCGAGTTCTTACACACCTGAATCACAACATAAGGCTTTAGTCTCCCCTGGATGCTCTTGTCTTGCTTTCCTTGAATTCATCCTTTTGCAACAAGTCATGCTGGGTACCCATAGCCTCTGTGTGAATAGCACTTTCTCATGAGCTAAGAGGAATTATTTTTCTCTTCTTCAGCTTGTCTTTTCTAAGCTGGGTGACAACAACCAGTGTATCTTGTCATTGTCTACAACATTTAAGATTTTATAGCCAATTACATTCCCTCATAACTACCTCTTTCTTTTCATAGGCTGTAAGGATTGTGATATTATTTTTAGCCCTTCTAGGGTTAGATTGAGCCTCTCGGCCTCTCATATGACTTCTATTGCCGTCCTTCATAGTCTTTCACACTAGCAAAGTGTTGATACACATATCTACTGGCATTATTCAAGATGATATCTTTAAAAAATTTTTGTTTATGCTTCTTGGCCATATCTAGAAGATCTGAATCCAGATGACTCTGTTTCCACATAATATTAAATGCTATTTCATATATATAATAATATATATAACATAATATATATTATTTCACATATATACTAGAGATGAGGTCTCACTATGTTGCCCAGGCTGGAGTGCAGTGGCTATTTACAGGCATGATCATAGTGCACTGCAGCTTCAAACTCCTGGCCTCAAGCAATCCTCCTGCCTCAGTCTCCTTAGTAGCTGGAACTACAGGTGTATACCACCACACCTGGCCTAAATATTATTTCTTAAACAAGGAATCGCTACCTCTTTCTTAGAGTTACTTTTTGCTATATTGCAGTCTTATCTTAGTCATATACTCTTATCCCTGTCTTAACAGTGTCTCTATGATTGTAAAGTAAATGACAAGGTAAGGAGAGACAGTCACATATTTGTCTTAAAAGTCAACATCCCTGATTTCGATGAGGGCATACAGGTCCCTCAAAGTTTGAGATGAATTAAGATTTCATTTCCACTGGAGGTAGAACTTCCAAAGCTGAAATGACATATATAACAGGAACAAACAGAAGATCTCACCATCCTATTTCTACTTTCTTATCCTCAAATATTTTTCTTCCCCCTCAGTTTTTTCTGCCCTGAATTTATAGCAGATATTTTCTCTTTATGTACACTTCAGATGCAGAGTTTTAGGGTTTAAGTAACATCATTTGCCTCTGAGCTGAAGGTGTGAAAAAACTGAGTGTAGAGCTACTTTGAACCCTCAGTGATCAAATTATTATTGACCACTACAGCAGAACAGCATCTCTATTTTGATGATGAAGAGTCTCTGCTTTCTCTCCACTAGCCAAAGAGAAGTTTAGGATCTGAAACCTTCAAAAGAAATTGAGTGAAGAAAGCACAAGCGTATCCAAAGACATTCATAATTTTTTTCCCCATGGTTCTCTTTTGCCCATTTTCAATTGATGATCAAAAGCTGAATAATTGAGGAGTGGGGGATTTTATTCTACCCATATTTGAACACTCAGTTGTTTCTCAGTATAATCTTTTTTTCTAACTTAATTATTTTTGTAATAACTCATCTCAATTTAATCAATCAAACTATCTATATAGACATTTTAATTCAATCATTAAGATGAATTCTCAACCTTACCCTGACCATGTTCCAGTGGAGTGGTTTTTACCCTAAAAACATGCTATTTTGTATCCTTGAGCAGTAAAAAGGAAAAAAAAGGCAACTTTCATCAGGATTTAATCCCTATTCTCAATTAGAATTAATATAAAAATAACATAATTGTTTTTCCTGGCTATTTTTATTTAGGGCAAAAGAACCAAACTTCCCTAAGATTCACCAGATCTGATTCCTTTGAACAGGCTGAACACAACCATCCTCTAGCAGAACTCTCCTGAGTCTCTCTCAACTCCAGTGCCCTTGGATCCTCTGTCCCACAATGACACTAGAGTGCAATGCAGCAATGGGAAACAGGTGGGTCAGGGATAGGGAGGCACACCAGCTTGGAGAGCAACCTGAAGAAGCAGCAGCAGCACTTAGCCTGATATTAGAAAAGCCAGGGTTCAGTCCCTATTTTGCGTCTTCCTCAGCCATGTGACTTTCCACAGTTGATACCATTTTTCTCAATTTCTTCATCTGTAAAATGAGGAAATTGGTCATGGTCTCACAGGCTGATGTGAGAAAAATGTATGTGAAAACACTGACACCATCATGCACTGAAAGAATATTAATTCTTCATATGAACTTCAAGGTTTTTCACAATGCCTTTGCCACCTTCCTTTTACCCTTACACACCGAAGGCATTCCATACTCAGGCTTTTAATGGTATGGGGATGTGGTCGTGGGTGTCATGAAAATCAAGCAGCACAAAGCAGGAATTCAAGGTCCAAGTTGAAACTGAAGCTACTGTAGGGGGTTAATCTTGGTGAGAAAGGAAAAGAGAAGGGTGGAGACCATAGCTGAGAGGAGCTTGTAGTCCCCAAACTTCCAGTTAGGTTTTTCTTAGATGTGTCCACATCTACTACACCAGTGCTTTTGCACATTAACATGCAAATGAATCACCTAAGGATCTTGTTAAAATCCAGATTTTGATATAGTGCTTCTGGCCTGAGATGTTACATTTCCAATAAACTCAAGCAGTGGCCAATGCCAAGGGCTGTGGATAACACTGAGTAACAGGGAGCCACATGTCCCTCCATGACCTGTTGCCTACAGTTCTTACCACCTGTCATGCCCATGTTCCTGCATTTTACCTTCTAGTAAGGTCAAGTTGTTCAGAGTTGCCAGGAACACTCTAGCGTCTTGTTCTGTTTTGTTTATGCTATACCTTAGTTCATCTTATTCTCTATGTACGGAATATTCTTCTTACTTTTTTTTTAAACTTCACCAAAACATTACCTTCTTCAGGATTTTATCCTCTAAATCTCTGTTATATGACACTTTCATATCAAGGTTTAAGATTATATGGCCATTTCTCCTCTACCAGATCCTGAAGCTATCAAGAACAATAATCCGTTTGGTTCTTCACTATATAACCTTATTTTCTAGTACTCTCTGGGATATGCTAAAGTATTTTGCAGATATTTGTTCAACTAAGTAGTGTATAAAGAACACACTGAATTTTAGATCCATTCCTGACTGAAAAGTTGAGTATCGGGTAGAATGTCAGTCCCTAATAACATCTTATTATGTGTTTTACTAAGAAATAACATTCATTTGGCAACAGGATGTGATTGTGAGGTAAAATAAAAGAAAACAAAATGAATCTTGAAAAAATTTTAACAAGCAGCATAGATTAGGCTGAAGTCTATATGATATGCCTTGACATCAGTGAATCTCTCTTGTGCCTGTCCTATTTGTGCTGAGATATTACAAACGGTCAGGACTCCTGATGGATGATTGTGTGATCAAGTTCTGACATTTCCTCAATTCTGTTCCTTATTTCTGAGGCACTGTTTCACTCACCTCCCTTCTCTTTGCATTTTTCTTTCTACTGCATTGTCTATAGTCTTTTTGGTGCTCATTAGTTGAGCCCCGAAGTGTTTAGGCCTGCTTCTCTACCCTTGTCCTTCTTTCCCAAAGCTGGATAGAAGGAAAACTAGTAATCCATCATGCAAGGAAAGTGATCTTCTCCCATAGTCAGTTGGGCAATAAAGCAACGCAACGTCAAGAATATATTTCCCTTTGCCACCTTGCATCCCTTTCCATTATGAATTACAGCTATGCTGTTCTTCTCTAAACCACAAAGAGCTCTCTTGCAAGCCTGACACTGATGATGGGAAATTAGAATCGAAATTCTTTATTGATTTAAATTAATAGGCAAAAGACTGAGAAGGAGATTTGTAGAAATGCAAGTGTGTTTACACATATATATTCATTTTCTTCTAAATAGCATATTCTATTCCCAACATACAAAAGAAACTCAAATTAGAGATTAACATTACAGGTAATATATTTTGGCATTACATGCCTAATATGCTTCCATAATCATTAATTATTAGAATTGTCATATAAAATGAGAACCATTTGTTAACATTTAATATGCGGAACTAGGGGGAATCAGTCATAATAAATGAAAGTGGTTAGACGCTAATGAGAAGAGCTGAAAAGTGATAGGGGCATCATCATTACTGCCTTGTCAACAAAGAAGGCCCATCTGTACACTGACATACCAAAGTAAAATGAGAGAGAGAGGATGCTGTTATACATTACCAATGCTCTAGAGGAAAAGCTAATTATCATTCATCAAAATGGATAATTTTTATTTAAGGTTTTTAAGAAAAATTAATGTATAGTTTCTATATACTTATAAAAATTAACAGTATTCTTATTTAAAATTAAATCTTTATGACAACTATATAGGACCATAGCTTGATGTATGTGGAAATAAAAGCAAATGAGTTTGCATTTACAGATCTTTTTGGTATAGAATTTCATTGTCATTAAGATGGGTTTATAATTATAAATAATGTAAAACTTTACACAACTCAGAATAATGCAGGGTAAGAGACTTTTGGTTTAGCAAAATTTATAAATTATTGGGTAGGTTTCAATAAGAATAGGCTATTGCCTGTAGGTAGAATTTAATAGATAAATAATAAAATAATTGGAAGCAGGTATTGAGCTTTAATAAGCTCTGTGCTAAGCACTGAATGCACATATTCTAATCCTTACAACAGCCCAGTGAATTTTATCTACCTTTTATTGCAATTTTAGGGTTAGACAAACTAAAGCAGAGAGTCACCCAAGGCAGCTCATGTGTAAGTAGAGAAGTTCACATGCAGTGTCTTTTAAAATTCAAGTATAATTTTTTTCTGTGAAAATTGGTAAATGAAAGAAATCTCAGTTGTTCGTTTCCGACTTGATAAAAAGCACTGAAATTAAAGTAGTTCTCCTTTTTAAGAGTATGACTGAAAATTGTTGGCAGAGAAAAATACATTTTAATAAACATGAACTTTGGACTTTTGTTTGTTTGCTAAAAAAGTGAATGTTTCTGCTAAATCTAAAATTTGATGATGTTATATATGCAAATTCTTAGCTATCAAAAATTACAAATGAAGTATGGTCCAAATTTTCAATATTCAAAAGTAATTATTCCAGTACCAAGTATTTACATATTATTCAAAAATTTCGGAGGGGGACTTTATGATATAATGATAAAAACTGGAGTAGAACAAATATACCATCTACCTACACTTCAAATGTTACAGAGCAGAATATCTAATTTTGGATTTCCAGTAACTTCCATCCCATTTTTAGTGGATGTCTGAGAGAGAAAAACCAAGTCGTATCACAGAATAAATAAAACAGAAAAAAAAGCTAGTTAACTAATATGAAAGGGTTTAAAAAAAATACTGATAACTTACATTAAATTAAATTAACGTTTAATGTGTCATTCAATATAGTGCTTGGCATATATCAGTTACCAAATAATTACTACTTACTATGTCTCTTTTCTACATCACTCCTCCAATAACTTTAATCAAAAGGGTAATTAACTCACATAATCTTTGCATAGTGTTCAGTTATTAAAACACGTCATACAAGAGAGGATTCTGGGAAGATGGCACAGTAGGAAGCAACAGGAATATGTTTCCTCATTGAGACAACAATTGCTCTGGCAGAATTTGTCTGATGTAATATTTTGGAACACTGGAGTCTACTGAAGGCTTGTGACTTCCAGGGGAAGGCTTGGACAGTAAAGTGCAGTTAATTTTGATCATTTTCAGGCTTTAGTGCAGCAACAGCTACCCATCCCACATTCCGAGCTCTGTGGCAGGCAGCTGTGCAGGTGTTCCTGTAACAGCTTGTGGGGATAAGGGTGAGCAAAAAAGACCTTGTCCTGCAAATATAAGGAATCTTTGGTCTGATCTCCGATTAATTCTTCTGATCACAGAAGCACAGATAAAGAAGCAGGTAACCGTTATTGTTACATCTGCCTCCATTGTTGTAAGCCCCACCTCCTGTGACTGAAGAGATTTCCAGAGGACTTAAAGGACCAGCATGCTCCCCCCCCCACAACCTTTTTATTTTTCTTTTTTTCTCCCTTTTGGAAGCCAAGCATTAATAACTAGCACATTCAAAAATAATTGTATATCTTGGAAAATTAGAAAGTGACAGCACATGCCCAGGCAAAAACACAGGCTCAGAAAAGACCTGAGGAGGGCCTAAGTTTAACTCTCAGGCTGATCCATGGCACAGAAACAGCCTAAACAATTTTTAAAAACCAATAAACAAAAACATCAAACTAAGTATGGGAAAGATTTCCAAAGTTACCACATTATTAGATACAAAT
Source organism: Homo sapiens (assembly GCF_000001405.40). Lineage (NCBI taxonomy): Eukaryota > Metazoa > Chordata > Mammalia > Primates > Hominidae > Homo > Homo sapiens. The sequence continues at coordinate 116,330,836 of NC_000003.12, forward strand.
GTCCAATTTTCAACAACAAAAAATCATAAAGCATATAAAGAAAGAAGGTAGTATGGCACATTCAGATATATAAAAATGAGTCAACAGAAACTGTCCCTAAAAAGAACTAATGGCAGATTTACCTGACAAAGACTTTAAAACCATGGTCTTAAAGATACTCATCTTTAGGAAGATGTGGAGAAAGTTAAAAAAATATGTATGAACAAAGTATAAATATCAATAAATAGCAAACCTAAAAATAAACAAATTACGGAGCTGAAAATTTCAATAACTGAAAAAAAATTACAAGAGAAATTCAAAGACATAGGTGACCAGTTATAAAAGGAGAATCTCTGAAGTTGAAGATGGGAAAATAGAAACTATCAAGCCTGAGGAATAAAGCAAATAAGATGAAGAAAACAGAACAGAACCCAAATGATTGGTGGGACACCATCAAGTGAACCATCTACACATTATGGAAGTTCCAGATAGGGAAGAGAAAGGGAAAGAACCAGAGAGAACATTTGAAAAAATAATGGCCAAAAACTTCTCAATTATTATTAAACACAGAAATATAAATATACAAGAAGCTCAACAAACTCCAAGTAACTCAAAGAGCCTCAAGATAAGACACATTATAATCAAACTTAGGAAAGACAAAGATAATTTGAAAGCAACAAGAGAAAATGACACATCATATATGAGAGCTACTCAATAAGATTAAAAGCAGATTCACATCAGAAACTTGGATACCAGAAGGCAGTGGCCTGGAAGAAATTGAAACATGTCCAAATAAATGAAATCTAAGGAATTTCCTTACCCGTAGAACTGCCCTGAAAGAAGTACTTCATGGAGTTCTGCAAGGTAAAATGAAAGGACACCAGATAGTAACCTGAAGCCATATGAAGAAATAAAGGTCCAAATGAAGATAAATATCTGGGAAATTATATAAGATAATATTATTATAACAATGGATTGTAACTTCACTCTTTGTTTTGTTTCTTTTTATTTTCTTTCTTTCTTTTCTTTTCTTTTCTTTTTTTAGAGGCAGGGCCTCATTCTGTTGCCAAGCTAGAGTGTAGTGGTGCAGTTGTATCTCACTCACCTTGAAGATCTGGGCTCAAAAAGTCCTCTCACCTCAGCCTCCCAAGTAGCTGGGACTACAAGAACATGCCATCACAATGAGCTATTTTTTGCTTATTTTTTGGTACAGATGGTGTCTCGGTAAGTTGTCCAGGCTGGCTGGAACTCCTGGACTCAAGCAATCTTCCAGGCTTGGCCTCTCAAAGTGCTGGGATTACAGGCATGAGCCACCACACCCGGCCTTCACTCTATTGTTCTGCATGATTTAAAAGTCATGATTTCTGCATGATAGAAATTATTAATATAAATGATAGTATTATTGAAACTTTGGTTTATAACTGTACATTTTATTTACACATAATTTTAATAACTAATGCATTTAAAATAATTATTAGGTTATATTTTGGGGCACAAAATGTGTAAAGATAAAATTGTTTGACATCAACAACTGAAAGAGGTGGTGGTGAAGCTGTAAAGGAGCAGGGTTTTGTATGTCGCTGAAGTTAAACTGATATAAATCCAAATTAGAGTGCTACAATTTTAGAATGTTAAATATAGTTCCCATGCTAACCACAAAATATTCTATAGAATATGCACAAAAGAAAATGAGAAAGGAATTTAACATTTCTTTAGAGAAAAATGAACTAAATGCAAAAGGAGAATAATGCAGAAAATGAGGGACAAAAACAGTTATGAGGCATATAGGAAGTAAGTAGCAAAAAGATAGAAGTAAATCTGTTCCTATCTGTAATTACTTTAAATGTAAATTGATTAAACTCTATAGTAAAAATATATGGATTAGTAGAATGCATAAAAATACATGATCCAATTATATGCTGCCTACAAGAAACTTACTTTAGATTCAAAGACACAAATAGGTTGAAAGTGAAAGAATAGAAAAATATATTCCATGAAAATAGTAATCAAAAGAGAGCCAGGATGGCTCTACTAGTATCAGACAAAATGAACTTAAAATAAAATAGTTTATAAGAAATAACAAAGGGAATTATATATTAATAGACTGTTCAATACAGTAGGAAGATATAAAAATTATAAACATATAACTAATATTAAATCTTCAAAATACATAAAATAAAAATTACAGAATTAAAGGGAGAAATAGACAGTATACAATAATAGTTGTAGACTTAAATACCTAACTTTCAACAATAGGACAATCAGATTGAAGATAAGTAAGAAAATATAGGACCTAACACAATAAACCAACTAGATCTACCAGACATATTCAGAATACTCTGTCCACTTAACAACGCATATATTCTTCTCAAGTACCCTGGGATATTTTTAATGATTGACCTACATTAGGCCACAAAGGAAGTCTCAATCAATTTAAGAAAATAGGCCGGGTGTGGTGGCTCACACCTGTAATCCCAGCACTTTGGGAGACTGAGGCAGGTGGATCATGAGGTCAGGAGTTCAAGACCAGCTGGGCCAAAATGGTGAAACCCCTTCTCTACTAAAAATGCAAAAATTAGCAAGGTGTGGTGGTGGGCATGTGTAATCCCAGCTACTCAGGATGCTGAGGCAGAGAATTGAACCCAGGAGGCGGAGGTTGCAGTGAGCAAGGATCGTGCCACTGCACTCTAGCCTGGGTGACAGAACAAGGTTCCATCTCAAAAAAAAAAAAAAAAAAGATATCATACAAGTATCTTTTCTCAACGAAATAGATTGAAGTCAGAAATCAATAAAATAACTAAAACTAGAAAATTCACAAATTTGTGGAAATTAAATAACACACTCTTAAATAATCAATAGATTGAGGAAGAAATCACAAGTGAAATTAAAAAATACTTAGCGACATGAAAATATAAATACAATACATCAAAACATATGGGACATATTGAAAGTGCTGAGAAAATTTATGCTACGAACACTTAAATTTAAAAAATTAAAAAACAAACTCATTTTACAAATTTTGAAATTAAAAAAAGACAAATTAAATCCAAAGCTAGAAGAAAGAAGGAAATAAATAATAAAGATTAGAGATAAACAAATTAGAGATAGAAGAAACAATATAAAAAATAATAAAGCAAAAAATGTGTTCTTTGAGAAGGTGAATGAAAATGACAAATCTTTACCTATATAAGGACTAAGAAAAAAGAGAAAAGATCCAAATTACTAAAATCTGAAATGAAAGTGGGGACATTACTATTGATTCTACAGAAATAAAAAAAATTAGAAGTCAATACTATTAACAATCAGATGCCAACAAATTAGAAAACCTAGCTGAAATGAACAAATTTCTAGAAACACAACACCTGCCAAGACCAAATCATGAGAAAGTAGAAAATTTGAATAGATCTATAACTAGCAAGGATATTAAGTTAGTAATCAAAAATCTTCTAAGAAATAAAAACCCTGAAACTTATGTCTTTATTCATGAATTCTACTTAAAAATTTAAAGAACTAACACCCGTCCTTCTCAAACATTTCCAAAACATCAAAGAGGACAGAACACCCCAACTCATTCTACGAAGCCAGCATTACACTGATAGCTAAGCCAGACAAAAACATTGCAAGGAAATGAAACAAAAGACCAACATCCCTTATGAACATTGATGCAAATATCCTGAATAAAAGTCTAGAAAACTGAATTTAGCAGCATATTGAAAGGATTTTACACCATGACAAAGCAAAATTTATTTCAGGAATGCAAGAATGATTCAACACACACAAAAAGTCAATCAATGTAATATATCACATTAACAGAATGAAGGAAAATAAAAAACACCTGATTATCTCAGTTGATGTAAAGATGATAGTTTACAAAATTGAACACCCTTTTATGGAAAAAAAGAAACACTCAACAACTAGAAACTATATCCACATAAGTAAAGCCATATATGAAAAACACACAGCAAACATTATCAATGGTGAAAGACTGAAAGCTTTTCCTGTGTAGGAATCAAAGCAAGGACTTGCACTTTCACTATTTCTATTCAACATAGTACTGGAAGTTATAGCCAGATCAATTAGGCAAGATAAAGAAATAAAATGAATCCATATTGGAAAGGAAGAAATAAAATTATGTCTATTTGCATATGATTTTATATATAGAAAATCTTAATAGTTCCACAAAAAACCTGTGAGAATAAACACATTTAGCAAAGTAGCAGGATATAAAGTTAACACACAGAAATCTAGCATTTCTATGTAATAATAATAATGAATAATCTACACAGGAAATTACAAAACCAATGTTATTTACAATAGCATAAAATAAAATGCTTAGCAATTAACAGAGTCAGTCAAAGAATATATGATGAAAACAAACTTTGCTGAAAGAAATTAAAGAAGACATAAACAAATGAAAACACATGTCATGTTCATGGATTGAAAGATTTAATATCGTTAAGATGTCAATACTAACTAAAGCAATGTACAGAATGAATGCCATCCCTATCAAAATCCTGATGTCATTTTTGCAGATATAGAAGAAACACATCCTAAAATTTATATGGAATATCAAAAGGATCCCAAATAGTCAAAACAATATTTAAAAACAAAAACAAAACTGGAGGACTCGCCCTTCCGGGTTTCAAATATTACTACACAACTACAGTAATCAAGAGTGTGGCACTGGCATATAGACAGACATATAAACCAATGGAATAGAATAGAGAGCCCAGAAAGAAACTTTTGCATATGCAGATGTCCTTTAACTTATGGTGGGCACCTGCTAAACCTATCATCTGTTCATCAGGATTATGTCCTGATAAATCTATCATACGTGAAAATTATCATAAGGCAAACATGCGTTTGTCACACCTGAACTACCAAACATCAAAGCTTAGCCTAACCTACCTTAAGCATGCTCAGAACACTTACATTAGCTTAAAGTTGGGCAAAATTATTTAATACAAATCCTGTTTTATAATAAAGTGTTGGATATATCATGTAATTTATTGAATTCTGTACTGAAAGCGAAAAACACAATGGTAGTATGGGTATCGAACTTACAGTTTCTACTCAAGATGTTTTCCTTTCACACTGACATAAAGTAAAAAAATTATAAGTTGAACTATTGTTAAGCTGTAAACAGTGTATATGGTCAAATAATTTTTGACAAGGCTGTCAAGACCATGCAATGGGAAAAGAACAGCCTCTTCAACAAATGGTGCTAAGAAATCTGGATATTCACATGCAAAAGAATGAAATTGGACCCTTGCCTAATATCATATAAAAATTAACTCAAAATGAATAAAGGACCCAAATATCAGACATAAAATTGTAAAGGTCTTAGCAAAAAACATAGGACAAAAACTTCACAACATTGGATTTGGCAATGATATCTTGGCTATGACACCAAAGGCACAGGCAACAAAAGAATAGACAAAAAAGACAAGGTGGACTTTTGGAAATTAAAAATAATTTTGTGCATTGAAAGACACTATCAGCAAAAGACAGCCTACAGAATGGTAGAAAATACTTGCAATTCTGTCTGATAAATAATTAACATCCAGAATATGGAGAAAGTACCTAACATTTAAAAACAGAAAAACAAAAATCTTGATTCAAAAATGGGCAACGAACCTGAATAGACACTTCTCCAAAGCAGTGGCTAATAAGCACGTGAAAAGATGCTCAACATCAGTAATCATTAGTGGAAAGCAAATAAAAACTACAATGAGATACCCTCTCACACCCATTGTTGACAAAGTACTCACTTCTTCATAGCTACTCTCAAAAGAACAGAAGGCTACTGTCAAAATAAGAGAAAAATAAATGTTGGTGAGGATGGGGAGAAATTGGAACCCTTGGGTACTGTTGGTGAGAATGCAAAATGGTATAGTTGCTATGGAAAACAGTATGGCAATGCCTCGAAATATTAAAAATAGAATTACCATATGAAAATGCAATTCCACTTCTAGGTATAAACTCAACATAATTGAAAGCAGAGTCTCAAAGAGATATTTATATACCCATGTTCACAGTAATGTTATTCACAACAGCTGAAATGTAGAAGCAATGCAAGTGTTCATTAAAAAATGGATGGATAAGTCTAATATATACACTATATTTGGCACACACACACACATATATATATGTGTGTGTGTAATGGATATTAAGTCTTGAAAAAAAGCATAAATTCTGACATGTTACAACATGGATGAACCTTAAAGAAATTATGCTAAATGAAATAAATCAGTCACAAAACGACACATACTATCAGATTGAACTTATGAGGTACTTAGAATAGTCAAAATCATAGACAGATGGTAGAATGGTGGTTGCAGGGCCTGGAAGTAAGGGAATATGGAAAGTTATTGTTTATTGAGTATTGAGTTTCAGTTTTACAATATAAAAAAATGTTACAGAGATTGATGTTGGTAACTGTTGCACAACATTATGATGTATTTGGTACACTAAACTACACATTTGAAATGGGAAATTTTATGTTACATATATTTTGACACAATAAAAAACCTAGGGATAAAAATAATACATAATTTGATATCTGTTCGAACCCTACATTGATTAGAATGTTACACAGCCTCCATTGCTCCATCTAGTGCTAGGAAAATTATAACAGCCATTTGGACAAGCAATTTTACTGGGTTGAGATATAGCACATAATCTCTAACTTTTAGTCAAAAACCAAAGAGTATTTTTACTGTATGTTGCACTCTAGCTAGCTTTGTCCTTTGGAATGCTTGCTGACCCAATGATTAATTAATATCAAAGAAGACTCTTACTACCTATAAAAGTCAACCACTTAACAACATCAAACTTCAAAAGACCCTCTTAGTGCCCCTGGGTCTCCTTGACAGTCAAGGACAGAGAAAAGGTAGGTGCATGTTAACAAAAACATTTAGGAACACTCTTTCCAGATCCAAGCAATAGCAGGGGCTAGGTCAGTCCTTCTTCAATTCAAGTATGCAATGGAGTCAGTGAGCAACTCATTACAAATTCTGATTCTAGGATCCCACTCCCAGAGTTGCTGATTCAGTAGATGTAAGGTGGGTTCCAGACATCTTCATTTTTCCCATAAAGGATTATGATATAGGTTGTCTAAGAATTACACTTTAAAGAAATAGATAGGTAGGTCCAGTCTGAAAACACCCAAGAGGATAGAAAGGAAGAGAAAATGTTACCTGTTTGCTTCTTTTCCTCCACAACCTTATTCCAGTCCTACAAATAATTAAATTTGGCTTTCACTGATTTTTGCTTGTTTTACCTACCTTTTCCAAAGACACTAAACCTTGTGTGAAAGATTTGTGGAAAGGATTCTCTTTCATCGTCACCTTTTATCCTCCTCTAGACATAGCTATGAAGAAGTGATTGGAATTTAGGATGACTGTGGTCTAGTGAGCTTAGGAAGCTGAGTTTGCCTTTCCTATCCTGTGGATAAATACTGTAGGGTTTATATGGTACCCTCTATATTGAACTGCAGGACAATTTCCTTAGTGACCTGCTCCTTATCAAGATAATTACCAAATGCCCTTTCAGCCTCAAATCTACAGAAATATCTTTATCCTCCCCAGCTGTTCCTTTATAGTCTCTTCTCTCCCATTCCACGTATGGATAGTAGTAGACATCTCCACATACGATCTTGATGTGGAGATGAATCTGTTTGTAAAATTCATAATCTGAAAACCAGATAGGCAGGTAAGCTAGAAGCATCTTTATTCTTTTATTTTCAATTCAGGTAGGTAGTGCTAAAATCCTTACTCATTTATTTTCAATTCAAGTAGTGATAAAATTTCCACTGAGGGGACTGGTTGCTGCTGCAGCTAAAAGATGGATGTGTAAGGGGAGAAGGAGTTAATAGATTTTATCAGGGTTCTTTCTGAGGTGTGGACTGTCATTCTCCTCTAATTCTAAACCTGAAAAGAATGCTGAAGGAAGCTGACAAGGCTCTTTGAAGATGTTTTGAAGATGTTTTCACTGGACTGGAGCTGCTGCAGTGGCACCCCAAGGTGGCACTTCTGTGAATACATCAACTCATAAATATTCAAATCGAATCACTGGGTGCTACCAGCCCAACCATTCACAGTAGAGTGATTATCAACCAACAGCTTTAAGCTGGTACACCTCCTGCTGTGATAGTTTCAGCGAAGACTTTGTTAGAGTGTTGTCATCCATTCCGGATGAGATGAAGAAGGAAGCTCTCAGGATTCTACTTGCAAATGTAAAGGTGATATTTATAAAGGTTCAGGTGCCTTTCCTAGGCAGAGGGAAAATATGAGAATGACAGGGTGCATTAAAAGCAGAGGCCAGGGAATTTACCAGGCAGGCTTTTGATAACAACCCTATCTGTAGAGAGTGGTGTAAGTAAAACTTGGTGCGTAGGTCAGGCCAGCTGCCTAAGAATCACCAGGAACTTGGTGAAACTACATATTCCTGTACTCCCCTTATATAGATTTTTTTTTTTTTTGAGAAAATTTGAAGTGGATTCCAGGACTGATAGATTTATCGTGCTTTCCAGAGATGACTTGTAGCCATGGTTAAGAGCCATAGTAAATAAACCAAAGCCATAAGAAAGAGGGTTCTTCAAAAATTTCAAACAATCAGCAGCACTGAATGACCGTCACAGCCACTAATGAAGTTTTTTTTTTTATTATTATGATACTGAATTGTAAAGGTTTTCAACATGTCTTAAAATTGACACTTTCCCATGGGGAAGTAGGGTCTGCATTCTCTCCCCTGGAACCTGGACTAAACTTAGGGAATGATTGACTGGTAGAGCACAGAGGAGGTGATACTCGGTGATTTCCAAGGCTAGATCATAAAAGGCAATAGAGTTTCTGCCTGATTTTCTCAAAATACTTTTCCTTCAGAGCTTTGAGCCACCAGATGAGAAGTCTGAGTTTTGTCATGCTTCACATGAAGACGTCACTGTAAGCATTTTGGCTGACTTCCCCAGCTGAGATCCCAGCCAAGAGCTAGCATTAACTGCCACATATCTAAGTGAAGATGCAGCCAGATATTACCAGTTACCAACCACTGAGCCATTCAAAGCCACAGAGTAACTCCCAGGCTTGAGTGATGAACTTCCAGATATCATGAAGCAGAAACAAGCTGTCTCCACTGTCTGCCCAAATTCCTGACCCAGAGTCTAGAGTATAACAACATGGTTACTTTACAGTTAAAAGCTGACGGGTAGAACATACAGCATGACTAGAAAGTTTGCAAGGCATTGGGAACAGAGCAAGGATTAGAGAATTTGCCAGTTCTAGCTCTGTCACTCAATTATCCCTATCATTCTGTTAAAACGTGTGTGACTTTGGGTAATTTAGTCTGCAGGCTCTCAGAAGACAAGTTTTCTAAAATGTAAAATAGAGGGAAAAGCATATCTTAAGATTGTAATAAAGATTAAAAGTGGCACTGTGGATGAATGTGCCTGACATGTTGCCTGTTACATATGAGAATAAATTCTCACAGTGAAAATTTAATATGTATTGCTGTTTTCTTTTTTTGTGTTGTTGCAGACACCATTCTAACTAAATAACAAAGATCTCTACATACCCCAGTGTAGATCAAAGTTATTACCCCTTATAATTGAGGAAAATCAATGGAATGCATCTAAATTGTGTCAAACAAATCTCAAGATGGAAAAAAGTACTATCTGTCCTTCCCAACATATTCCTTAAACAGATGAGATATTTTATTGAAATGCTTATTGCGGATCAGTGAACCCAACATTTGCCCATATGAGGAGTCATTTTTAAATATTAAAATAATCTCCAGACATGCATATAATAGTAGTATTTATGTTAGAAAAAAACTACATATTTTGTTACTAACCATGGCTTCTATCTACATATAAAAATATCAGTATAGATCTGTCACACAGCCTACAAACAATACTGTGTGTAAACTCAGATCCAAGGCTCTATTAGAAAAAGTGCCTTTACTGCTCAGTAAACCTCAGAACCTAGGAATTATTATAACACATAAATGTCTCTTTCTACTTCTCCGTGTCTAGACTCTCTGAAAGTGATACTACATAACCACATCCAGTTGGGCAATTCTTTGTAATTTTCTCTGGCTCTTTCAACATAGGAGAAGAAAACATTTCTGATGACCTCTATATGTATCATCCTCAGTCCCCCTATAAAAGAAGTTGATACAATTACTTATGTGGCATATGGAGATAAGAGAAGCTAAATGATCCTTTTATGGATCCAGATGGCTTCCATATAGCTAAGGTAATGACATTTAAACACTTTAAAAATGGATTTTTGTTTTAACAACTCCAAGTAATGCATAGATAAAATGGAGTCTCTATGAAAATATAGAAATATCAGCAAACTCTCAAAACCTTTATTAAGAATGTAATCCAAATTAACTTAGGTAATTTAAACTACAAAGAAGTAGAAAAAAACTAATATTATATATAAAAATAGTGTTAAAAAGTGTTTTTTGTTGTTGTTGGTGGTGGTGGTGTAGTGTTAGCTCAGGTTCTATTGAATCTCTTTTAAAATTACCTGGAAGAAGGATTATTTTCATTATTTTAATGATCTCCTAGATAAGGAAACAGTAGAAATAGCTTATTAATGAACTTTGCAGGTGATAAGTGAAGATGTATGGCAGGCACCTTTGAGGCTCCTCAGATGTCATATAAATTGACCAGAGAGGATAGTAATATGACTTGAAAAATCACAAAATGAGATTCAGCCTAGAAAAATGAAAACCAATACATCTTGAGCAAAGTAATTCAATGGACAGGAGAAACCTGGTGAGTGGTAATGCTGAAAAAAGACCTGGAGCTGATAATGGAGGACAAATTAGATATCAGTTTGCAATATGATATGGCTGCCAAAGGGGCTGATGCTATTTCGAATTGAATACAATGATCCATTATGTTGGGGCAGAGCAAAAATATAGAGAAATGACTCCCGCCTTCCTTGACTCTGGTTCGGCTAAGGTACCATCAGGCTCCTCGACACTTGAAATGTGTTGAGAAATTGGACTCAGTACGGAGAATAGCACTGAAATGATGAAAGAAATGGAATGATGTATTTATGGAAAAAGGTTAAAGGAGCTGAACATGTATTGGCTGGATAAGCAATGACTAACAGGGCTGGGGTAGCACTAAGTCAACATTTGAAAGGTGTAATTTCCCTCAGAGAAAAGGGCTATATAAATGTAAAATAACAGTAATAGTATTAAAATGCCATGGGAAAGCACCTAAGAGGGGATAGGGCAGACTTAGTGTGAGGTTAGTGATTTAGGTAACATCCTGACCTCAGCCATACTAACAATAGTCCTTTATTTGCCATGATGTCATTGGAAAGTACTGGAGAGACCCTCTTCCCACTTGCAAGGTAGAGAAACTTGAGCAGTTGGGAGTTGTTACTGGGAACAATTGCATTTTGTGTACTGTGGTTTCAGTGCCTTTTTAAATACTGATCTCCATTACCCCACTCTTTAGACTAAATTGAATGTCCTCATCCTTATTTCCAGAATGCACATCAAATCTTTCTTTTGATTATCAATCTCTAGGAACTTTCCTCTTCTAAGTAAAACAATAAAGGAAAGAAAATAGGGGATCTGAACCAATTTATAGTAAGATGCTAGTATATTAGATAACAGTTTAATACATTTCTCAAATGTATGAACAAAGGATAAAACATTGTTTTTCTCCACAAAGAAATCTCTGTTCAACGGATGAGGAATATGTTTTGATATGGATCATCCCTGTGACCTTCAAATGACATTCCCTAAGCTTTCAGTTGGAAAAAGCTTATATTTTGAAATGCCTTCTAGACTATTCAGAGCTGTGAAAATAGCTGCAGCATAGTCTTAGAGATTGAATGGGCTCAATTTAATAGATATTTGGGGTTTTCCATTAAAACCTCAAACATCAAGAGCATGTGACATGCTTTATGACATAGGAAGCTGCATGGGGGAAATTTTCATGCAGTTACAACGGTCCAAGATATGCTCTATTGGAAGCATAGATGCAAGAGAAATACAACTTAGCTTCTTTTCAGCTCTAACTTTCTATGACTCTATAATTCAGTGACTGTAGGATCATTTTCATGATTCAAGAGTAAATATTGATGGATTCTTTCCAAAGTGAAAATGTAAGAAATAAAGTGAAAGAGAGATGAATAGTTGTTCCATTATGTGTTAAGTATTTACAATACTAAGGAGATACAGTTTAGGAACAAAGTAAGTAATGAAGTATAATGGGTTAGCACACAAAAGTGGAAAAATAGAAAACAAAAACAAAACAACAATAACAACAAAAAACTGCCTTGACCATCCATCTCTGATCCCTGGAGTGGAAAGAAAATGTGAAATTTCTGCACCTACTTGTGATGGATTTGGAAAGACAGGTTATCTTGCTCAGGGGAAACTTTAAAAAGTCAGACATCTGCTGTAGAGCAAACACAGTGAAACATGGGTCACTAAAGAGCCCCTAAGTTACAGAAAGGACAGGTTTGTGACCCTGAAAGTAGGCAATGCAAACAGAGTAAAAACCCACCCTAGATCTGCCACTGACTGGCCTGAAGGGATTGGTGGGGAATGTGGAAGCAATATAATAATCACCAGGGTCCACTTGTTATTTATATTCTAATGGTAAAGAAAATAGCTTCTTAGGTTTCAGGTAATTTCCTAATACAAGTGCTTTAATGGAAACAAGATAGTCACCTGAGGCAGCCAGTTTAGCCAAACATGGTCAGTAAAATGCATCATGCCATGTATAAGATGGTCTGTACTGCTGGCCACAGGCAATCTTTATGATAGATTCAGGTCATTCCTGGTTCACTGATAGCGTGGGTCTCTGTGTTGATTATTAATGGCTAAACATAAGAACTATTTTGGCCATATCTCATAAATTTCTTCATCTTCAAAAAGCATGGCCTAGGTCAACACAACATAAGCAAAAGATGGAATGCAGGTCACCCACCCTGAACTGCATAGACACACAGAAACCTGAACAGTCTAGCTTCATTTCAACTATGTCCAGATAGGGTAACCATATGATTTTTTTCAAAGAAAACTGGTAGTTTGTAGTTTTCAGATTACAGAATCACTCTACAAACACTATAAGACTGTAAATGTATTATTCCTGAGTAAAAGGGAAACTGGATAATATATGAAAATCTCCTTGTCACAATATTTAGGTAATATTCATGGAAAAAGAAAATTTTCATGAAATACAAGGAATTAAACTATAGAGTAATAAGCTCATCATGTGGGTACCAAAAGCAAGCAAATAAAAACTTACCTGGCTCCTATGGAAGCACGTGAATAATGGCACCACCTTTTCCCAAATGCCGAGTAGCTCTGCTGTATGGATTGGCTACAAGTTTTAGGTCACAAATGTGCTGAACTTTCTCCTTAAAAGCCCAACTCTGCTGTGATTACACTGGTACAGATAAGAGGCATATATGAAGATTAGATTGAAAGAAAGAAATTGTAGAAGAAAATGCAAATAACCCAGAAATCCGTTAATCACTTAAGGCCTTGGGGTAAGAAAAATCTAAGTACAAAGCAGAATAAATGATTAACAGCCAAAGATGGAAGAAGGGGGTGATGAGGGGGAGAACATTATTTTAATTTAATTGCATGCAAACTTGCAAGGAGATTCCAGAAATCATTCAACAGAAAAGATTTTATTATACTCATAACCCTACCTTCACCATACCCTATTCACTAAAGAAATCTCCTGCCTCTAGGCTCTTCCACTCTACCTCCTTTAATTGTCACATCTGAAAGCACCTGGTGCCAACACGTAAAAATCACACCCCAAATGATCTCAACTCTAATTCTCATGCAAGCTCTACAACCATTAATCTAGACACAAAATGTGTTAGGAGCTTTCTATGCATATTTAATCAATACAACAACCCAAAGAGGTTAAGTATTATTACCCTAATGTTAAAGAAGAGGAAACTGGGAGGATAAATATTTACTTAGTCAGTCTAGCACTGAGGTTCAAAGCCAAGTTTGACTAACTCCAAAGTTTCCAGCAAGAATCAATGAAAAAGAGATAGGTTTCTGTAAATCCATTTAGATCCCACTCTTTGATTTCTATATTATTCACGGTAGGCATTCCTTAAAACTTGTTTTGATCTCCTTTAGGATATAAGCAAATAGATTGTAATCCCTGTGTGTATGTATGTGTGTGTACCTGTTACATATTTGATTTGTTTAGCACATATTTATTGAACACATAATTCTGCACTATGTACTGTGTGAAGGACTGTGGATAAAATAATAAGGATGCCCTCTGCTCTCATGGAGATTACTATTTGTCTGCTTTGCTTGATGAGGCAAGATTCCTTAAAACCAAATAGTAGCCAATGTACAAAAAAAAGGAAGAGGTTTGATTCTTAGTAATTTATTAAAGAAAGAAAATGTGTGGCTACATAACAGAGCAACTGAGTATGAGATATCAACCTCCCATTACTACTGTTGTCATTATCATTATACTATAGTTATAAAGTAACTTAATATTGTAAAAATGCAGAAATTAGAATTCTGCAGGGCTGTCAACCCCTCAGAGCAGGGGTCATCTGGAGAAATGAGAGGAACTAGATATCGGCCCTGTAGTTCAGGACTTGGGGTGTATCAATCTTCTCTTTTCTGTAAAGGAACAGATAAATGACTACCTAATGTACATGGCAATCATTGGAATGGTATTTCTCCAGTAAATTTCAGAAACTACAACTGGGTGGATACTTAGTTACATTCAGTAATAAAACTGTTCATAATTTCATTGATTTTTAAAATTTTATTTTTTAGATATTTATTTTTCTCCAGTTTCATAATAATGTTATTTTTTAGAACTTCTGAGATTTGTTTGGGTTTTATTTGTTTGTTTATACTGACCTAAAGAAGAAAAAAATATATTTTGTTAATATCTAGCCCAGGAAGTTTCCCTAAAATTAGATATAGCAGTGTCGGTTGCTAGTTCAGCTACTGGGCCTAGAGAAGCTCAGGCTCTTATGTGATAAAACAAAACAAGACAAAACCAAAACAAATAAACAAAAACCCAGAGAAGCAGAAAAGAGAATTAGAGATAATCATAATAATTACAGACTGCTTCCGACTAGTGTTTTCCATTACTGTGAATGCCATACTTGGTAAAGAAATAAATACGGTGTGCCATGCACATAATCTAAAGGCAGAATCTGTTCTGAAATGAGATGAAGGAAGAAACCAGGGTATATTCTACCAATTAAAGTGTCTGGGTGCAAATTATTAAAATTACTATATATCCTAAAAGGATTAGACTCTAGAACCTCAGTCAGAACTTATGAAAATATAAACTAATTTTTTCATTGCAAATAACCATATCTCCATTTCAAGAAGATGGATTCCGCTTTGCATTGTTATATGTTTCTGCTAATAAGATTTTAAAATTTTATGTGAGCATACATGCCCAATAAGATTTTTTTCTCTTGAATTCAGGAAACATGATTTTTTTTTCTAAGGGTTAGTTTTATCTTTTTTTTTTTTTCTTTTTGTGACAGAGTCTCATTCTGTTGGCCAAGATGGAATGCAGTGGTACCATCTCAGTTCACTGCAACCTCTGCTTCCCAGGCTCAAGCGATCCTCCCGCCTCAGTGTCCACAGTAGCTGAGACCACAGACGTGCACCACCACACCTGGCTAATTTTTGTATTTTTGGTAGAGACTGGGTTTCACCATGTTGTCCAGGCTGGTCTCAAACTCCTGAGCTCAAGCAATCTGCCCGTCTTGGCCTCCCAAAGTGCTGGAATTACAGGTGTGAGCCACCACCACATTACAGAATTTTAGAAGTAAAACAGTTGCTAGAAATCCTTGTCTAACACCTTCATTTTTCAGAATATGATACTGAGTACCAGAGGGGCTGTATGTGTCGACACATGTCACATAGATATTTCAGGCAGGCCTGAAAATTTATTCATTCAACAAACATTCATTAAGTACTTCCTATGTGTCAGTTTTGTTTCTACACATATCCTAGAGCAGTGGTCTTCTAACATATCAAGAGTCTTCTCTCACTCAACACCTTTGAATCCATATGTTTATTTATCCGCCAGAGTAAGATTAAATAGCACAACTCATCCCTCTACCCCTAAAATCAGTTTCTGGACTTAATAAATAAAATGATAAAATGATTTATTTATGTAATTTTGAAAAATATACAAATGATACTCGGTCTATGATAAAACACTAATACAGAAAACCAACTATATACAAATGTAGGGCAAACCCAGAGTGTTGCTGGAACAATATACAGCAAGTACATTTTCTAATCTTGCTTATGGCTATACTTTGAGCATTAAAGTGCTGATACTTTTATACTTAAATAAAACCAAAGTCATAATAATAACAATCCTTCCTTCTATTCACTCTTTATGACAGGAGCTTTGATGGTGAGGGCCAACCTTTTGCTTGTGCATACAGAACTTGCTTCTTCTTCCCTATCCTAACCCTTAACTTGAAGAAGTATTTTCACGGTTAGTAGGTCAGTCAAATAACTGCTTCAGAAAACAAATATTGGCTCTCACCAGACTTACAGGCAAATTAATTTTGGTCTCATTTAACATGGTCAGGCAGCAACTTAATGTGTGTATAGAGAATTGATAGTAACTGTGGTTGAAGGATTTGATAACTTATATCTGATATAAACTTCCTTGTGCTCTCTTTCTTGTACTAGCTAGTTCAGTCACTGTCTCTCTCTCCCCCAACCCACCCCATTTTCTTTTAAAATATTTAGATATATTTGTTTTCATGGAATTCAAGAATTTCTATTTTAGAATAACTATGAGGCAGAAATTGTAGGTAACGTGACAGTAAAATAAAAGGGTAAGCACAGGAAAAACCAAGAGGACGGGACCATGGCTCATGGTGTATCCACACTAGAACTCACGAAGCCCACAGCCAACTTCAGCTCATCTTTTGCTTTTATTTATATTCTTATCAATCAGAAATAGAAATATTATATTTTAAAATGAAAGAATATGGCATGGTAGAAAAATATCGAATGAGAAAAGGGAAGAGGGACAAGGAAAGACAGATATAAAAAGAGAATGAGATGAAAAATACTACTGCCCATCACTTAGCCAGTATTTTTTTACAAGCAAATTTTGAAGCATCAATGTGGGAAAAATAAAAAATCAAAATCTGGGGTATGTAGAGTGACTATACATCTCTGCTTTCCAGGAAAGGTCTCGGTGTATATCTGGTACTCCAGCATAATTATCGGTAGCAATCCTTCCACTCTCGAAATTTCACAGTTTGAACCATCAACTATACAGTCACCCTAAGGATAGAAATTATTCACGATAGGTTGGCAATTTTACAATTGAATAAATTTGGTCTCATTTCTCATTCACGACCTGTTGTTTGTAATATAGACCCCTTTGCTAAGGGATCATACTCTCTTCATGCCTCGGTACAATGAATTTGATCCAGGTCAGAATAAACTCAGCTGTAATTGCATTCTTGAAAACCTCTCATATGGCAGAGTAAGTGAATAAGGAACCCATACCAAAACAACAGCCCAAGTGTATTTGGCATTCTGATTTCACTGTCATGCATTTACCTTCCTTTTTCTTTAACAAAGCACCTGACATTCAAGGTTTGTTTCATCCTGTCCTATGAGAAGGAAGGGGAAGCGGTGGTTACAAACAGCCTCATTGCTAGGAATAGGCATTTTTTAAATCCCTGTAACCTTAATAGTAATTTAGAGGCCATGACTGTGTAATCACCAGAAATTAGCCTTCATTTCCATTTCACCGAAAGCATTTGTGACAGACATTTTTTACCTGTAAAGCAATATATACAAACTCGTATTAATTCCCAACCACAGAATTAATCCTCACTAGAAGCTGCATTCAAAACATCTTTTCTTTTAACCTATTACTTCTGCAAAAATTTAACACATCATAAAATGAGATGATAATATCAAAAATCTCCTGAAGAGGATAAAGGGCAACAAATACTTTTATTTATTATTGGTGACACTCTTATTTATAGTTGGTGACAAAATTAATATTCGGAAATTACCTGGCCAAAGCTATTACTTTTAAAATATGTATTATCTTTGACAAGCCAATCCTACTTTTGTAATCTGTATAATTTTTAGGAAAGCAGTATCTTGGTTCAGACTGATGGAATTTCAATCTTGGCTTAGCTTCTCGGCAGACCTGTGACACTGGGCAAGTTACTTACGCTTCCCTCAGTTGTATTCCACTGAATGTGGATAATATCTATATCTAATGAATAGGACTATTGGGAAAATTAAATGAGTTAGTGGATTTAAAGTGTTTAGAAAAGTTCTGCACTAAAAGCAATCAATAACAGCTATTATTATTATGCTTTAGAAATAAAAGCACCAGCACACAAGGATAATACTGAAAGTGTATTATATTGTTTCTCAATTTAAAAAATGAAAACAACTGGCTATCCATCAATATTAGAATAATTAAGTATGATGTGAAGTCCATACTGTGGAATATTGTGTATCTCAAAATTTAAAAAATATATTAGATATGTGTCTATTCTTCTTGCTGGATTTTTTTAATATGAGAAGCAAACTGTACAGTTATTTACTTAGTATCATCATACTTTAAATTAAAAAAGAAAACAGAATAATGACCCCCCCCAAAAAAACTACACACACACACACACACTCTCTCTCTCTCTCTCACACACACACACACACACTCACATATTCCTTCATAATTTTTTAGCATTTACTGTCAGGCACTGTTATAGCATTGGGTTGCAGCAGTAAACAAAACAGACACAAATATTGACCCTCACAAAATATATTCTAAGGTGTGAGGACTCTCTCACACACAAATAAATGAATAAATAAAATATATATTATATCTGGTGCTAAGTGTTACAGGAAAAAAATAAAGCAATGTAGTCACACGCCTGGGATTTCCAATGAGGCAACGATGGTTAAGGGAATACTAGCTTCACACAGGGTGGTGAAGAAAAGTCTCTCTGGGGAAATAAAAAAAGAAGACGTTTGGGCATAATCCTGAAAGATATGAAGAGGTGAAGTATATTTACATGTTTTCTGAACATGTGCATATGTTTGTATATTTTGTGTGAATATGGAAGGAAAATATATGCGAATATACCAAGTTGTTGAATGTATTACATTTAATTACTTCAGGGAGGCTACATGTTGGGGATGTAAAGCTGGAAGAGGTTTTAAGTGTCTTCTTTATACATTTTTATTTGTACATATGTTACTTTGGATATTAAAATAATTGATTAAGAGGATTAGAGCTAATAAATAAAAGAGTAAGTGGAGGATGGAAATGAGCCCACGAATCAGAAGAATTAATTTCCAGTCACAGCACATAGCAGGTACTAAATAAATGTCAGTCTAAGTAAAATTTGACTGTATTCTTTCACCATTTAAGTATTCTGCAGATAAGGGCATCTGAGCCCTGCAGAGGTACAACTATTGGTTAAGGACACACAAATACTAATTGCTGAAACTATGTACCCCATATGACTGTCCTCCTTTATCTGTGGTTTCACTTTCCATGATTTCTGTTACTCTCAGCTGCAGTTCGAAAATATTAAATGGAAAATTCTAGAAATAAGCAATTCATAAGTTTCAAATTGCACTGCATTCTGAGTATGGTGATAAAATCTCAGATCAATCTTGTTCTGTCCTGCCTGGGACATAAATTATCCCTTTGTCCTGCTCATCCCTGCATTAGTCACTTAGTAGCCATCTCGGTTATCAGATCAACTAACATGGTATCACAGTGCTTATGTCAAGGAACCTTTTTTTTTTTTTACTTAATAATGGCCCCAAGGCACATAAGTAGTGATGCTAGCAATTTGAACATGCCGAAGAGAAGCCATAAAGTGTTTCCTTAACATGAAAAGGTGAAAGTTCTTTACTTAATAAGAGAAGAAAAATTGTATGCTGAGGTTGCTAAGGTCTATGGTAAGAAAAAATCTTCTATCCGTGAACTTGTGAAGAAGGATAAAAGAAATCCGTGCTGGTTTTGCTGTCACTTTAAACTGTAAAAGTTATGAAGTGCCACAGTGCATGATAAGTGCTTGGTTAAGATGGAAAAGGCACTAAATTTGTGGATTTGGTATCATCCATGGTTTCAGGCGTCACTGAGGGTCTTGAAACATTTCTTCCACAGAGAAGGAGGGATGACTATACCCATTTTTGCCAGGGGATTTGCCTTTATAACATCCTCGGTACTTTTTGTAAAGAAACCTCTTTTTTTTTCAGCCCTGAAAGTTTCAATAAACTGCCTGAGAGTTTATTGAAAGAGTTTGCATAACGGAGGAAGGATTCAAAAGTTCGGATTTGGGGGAGTAGAATTGAAGAAAGAGCTGCATTGCTGAGAGTGAAGGCAGTGCACCTGCTGTGTCCTACATACACTACCATTGATTAGTTTAAATTTCTCTTTGTTTATTTCCCACACCCTACCTTCCAATGGAGATGCCATTAAATAGGAAAATGATCAAAAGCTAGACATGTGAAGGGAGAAGATACAGAATGAGGACACCTCAGCAGCATTAGTCTCTGAGTAACGGAGAAGTAGCTTTGGAACCTGACAGGGGAATGGCAGGAGAGTTCACCATGGGTATGTTGGAAAGGGATTCTGAAGAATTTTCCAGAGTCAGCAGCATATTCACATATGTACCCATACATTCTGAGCTCTCACATTACGTGTAATTATATTCCTTGTCAACTCAATACAGTAAGAGCTCATCAGCCTGGACTAAACAGACTCTTCCCAATAATTATAAGAATACTCCACTGGAAACTACAGAATGGATGGCGGTGATGAACTAATTAAATGAATAGAAGCATAGCCCTAGAAACTGTTGTCTGTTTATCTGGAATGCAGCTGAAATGTGAAAGATTCTTTTGCTATCCAGTATCATTCCCTTCAAACTAGCTGGCTCACACGTAATGTGAATAAATACATTTGGAAGTCTGGAAATCTTCAACGAAGTTCAAGGAAATATTCAACTAGAAACCAAACAAAAGTATATCTCATTGCTTCTCAGGGACAAATATCAACTAACTCCTTATTTCAATGTATTAATATCCCCAACATGTGGATATATATCATCCTCTTTCAGTGAACAAAGTGTGTAAAATAGCACTTAGAATGTCAGAGGAAAGTTTAGTTAACCCTTCAAATATTGTGTCATGCTTCTTCATCAGCTCCACAGTTTGGTTAAAAGGTTCACCGCTTCACCGTATGTACAGGCAGTGGAAGGAGACACCAACTCTAGGTGTTTAAGCAGAAAGTTCCACTTCTTATAAAATGATTCCATGACTTCTCTGACGTTTCCACCACTAGGGTAGTCAACACAAAGGGAATCTTTAAAATCCACACATCACTCCACGAATACCTGATCATCATTGATGTGGAATTAGTTTATCATGGCAGCCAGCGGAGAGCAAAGTTCTAAAGTACATACTATGAAAGAGTTGGGTTGAGGAAAAAGACAATGAGATAGATTCAGAGCATGGGATCTTGCCATTCAACCCTAACTTACATGAGCCCTAAGGGACCTCATATGGTCAGTAGTGCAAAGAGAAACTGAAGGCAGCAAGAGAAGTCACAAGTAGAGACAGAAGAACTGAGGAAAGGCAAGCCAACCTCATTTACTTTATACTGTCAGCTAGGGAGAAAACTGAGTCTAATGATGGGTCGTTAAATAAATCTCCTTTGAAGTTTTGTGCTCTAATGTGGAAATAGTCTCTGTTAGATACACAGTAATAGTTCTTTTACCTAGTCTCTCCAGAGAATGTGATGTACCTCAAAGTAAAACATTCAAATAACTGAAAGTTATCTCGTTAATCTTAAAAAACATGCTTTTGTTTAAAGTTTTTCTTGTAACTAATTATAAAATATATCAATCACTTTCTTTAATTCATATGTATTTCACTTCAACAAGCACTTGCTGCATTGTATAATAATGACTTTTTTGGGGTGTCTTGCATATTTATATAGGGTTATTTGCCTCAATGTGAAAAGGCTCAAACACTTGTCCAAAGTTTATAGCTGTATAGTTTGTTCCCTGTGTCATTGGTTGTCTGAACAAAGAGATGTTTGCTTCTTTTTCTAAAATGTAGAATTTCATACCTAACTTCGTTAAGATTCTAAATACAGGTCAGCTTCCTCTACAACTCATTCAGCTGGGCTCTGTACCCTTAGAGTTTTCTCATTTGTTCTTGTGTTCAAAGACATGTTCTGGGTGGAAGTGATTAGCTAGGATCTGACCTCTGGATAATCAGGGTGGTATGCTTAAACAAAGACATTAGGTTCATGAGACAGAGATACAGCTGCAGGCAAACCAAGAGGAAATGAGGGTTAATAATACTGCATGCCTAGAAATATGACGAAGTTATAAAAAGGGTTAGGTGACCTAACTGGGAAAATTTAGACAAAGATAAATTTTATTCGTCTACTCTTTTAGTGAATTACTCAAAATGATCAATTAACTCTGGCTAGTTCTGCACAAGAGTTATAGTTGGAACCATATAATTATAGTACTTGATAATATTTAATTTAGAACTTTATTATAAACTGCCTTGGTATTGTTATTTAATTACTTCGTATGCAAAAGTTATGTTTTTTAAAAGGACCATGCACTTCTTGAAGACAGAGATCCTGTCTTCCCACCTAATTTGGGTTCCTCTACATCCTCCTACCCAGATAATCCAGTACGTGCAGAGTACACTCCATAATTCTGTACCGAATTGAAATGTTACATATGAATCTTCAAAATTAGGATAGTACAAACCTCTTTCCAGAACTATCTAGGCCAGTGACAATACAAAAAAATGGAGAGAAGAGGCAAAGAGTATAGGGATATTATATAATAAAATCAAACAATTCATTTTCCATCCCATATTTTAATATAATGAAATGCATTGATTTTATAATTTCCACTGAAAGTTTACATATATGAGCACGTTGACACAAACACTGGACTATAAATTATTAACCTACTTCAGGAAATAGTCGTTTGTATGTGTTAACTTAATGATTCAATTAAAATAAAGTTCATAAAAATCATTGTAGGAGAGCTTCTAAGATTTCCCAATTGCCTTTCCATTCAATGGTTTTGTAAAAAATTTTATTCTGAACTTGACAGCTATGAGCATTACTAATAGAGTTTGACTGAAGACAGTATTATCAGGATCTGCTAAAACCCTTCCCACATTTTCCTTTTCACCCTTGAAGCTGGAGTCACTTAATGCCAACATGGACTTTTAATTCTGATCAGGGGATATTTAAAAAGCTGTTAGCTAATAGAATAGTTGGTCTTGCTTAACCCTCATACCCAGATCTGACTTTAACTGATTGTCCTGTCTTTTCCAGTGTTCCAGCCATATACCCTCGGTTCTTTCCAAGACATCGCTGAATCAAAATCCAAAGCAGGTATTCCCAAGGTCAGACACTTCTATGCAAACTCCACACCTTATTGATGCTACCTGCCTCTTCATGTGTACTGCTATTTATAACCACCTTGTTACAAACACCTTACTTAGTTCAGGCCTTGTCATTTCAGCCTTCACTGTCTCTACTGCTATTGGAGACATGGCTCTGGCAATTACCAAAACATTGTTGTGAGTTAGTCTTTGTTGAATTTGCAGAATCATAGTCCCAGTGGCTTTCCCTTGGCAATGAAGAAGCTTAAATATTTCCTCATAGCTAGAATCACACAATTATAAAATTTTACAGCTCACAGAGATGAAGGAGATCCTTCAAGTTTAAAGCTGACTTGGGCATTGCATGCAAATGCAATGTTTTATGGTAGGTTGCCTTATAATCTGCCAGAGGAAAGACTAAACATATATCTACTACCTATGCATACTCAAAAGGAAGTAATAGGACCAGGATAGACACTGGGGTATCATCAATGGTTTTGTACTTCCAGAGGGAAATACAGAGAAAGTAATCAAAGACTTTAAAACTACATAAAAAGCTCTCTGTCTCTCTCTCTGGGTGTATATATGTGTGTGTGTGTGTGTGTGTGTGTGTGTGTGTGCATGTGTGTTATATTTTCTTGAGGAAGAGGGAATTTAGAAGACTGAGATGAACACAACATGTATATCAAATGGCATGACTGATTCTCCAACATTCCATTATAGATGCTGTTTGTTTATTACATAATAATACATAACTGGCTTCAACAGTGATTCAAATAAGTAGCTCATTGTATTAGCTATTGATTCTATAAAATAAAATCGATGACATAACATTAACTTGTTCTTTACCATATATATATATTTGTTTTTCACATTTATATGTGCATAAATATTCTGAGTTTTAAGATTTGAGTAATATCTGCAGTAAGGAAAAAAACAGCAAGCCAATTTATACAGTCTGCTTCACATTTTCAAGATAATTCTTTTCTTAAAAAAATAAGCATGCCTGCTGATTGGGAATTACTGTATAAAAATGTCTTATTTATTTGACAAAAGTGCAAAGAACATACATTGGGAAAAAGACAATCTCTTCAATAAATGGTCCTGAGAAAACTGGATATCCATATATAGAAGAATGAGACTTGACACCTGTCTCTCACCATATACAAAAATCAAAATCAGATGGGTTAAAGATTTAAATGTGAGACCTGAAACTATGAAATTACTAAAGAAAACATTGGATAAACTCTCCACAACATTGGCTTGGGCAAAAATTTCTTGAGTAATACTCCAAAAGCACAGGCAACTAAAGCAAAAATAGGCAAATGGATCACATCAAGTGCAAAGGCTTCTGCATAGCAAAGGAAACAATCCACAAAATGAAGAGAAAACCCACAGAATGGAAGAAAATATTTGCGAACTATCCATCTGATAAGGGATTATAACCAGAATATACAAGGAGCTCAAATAACTCTACAGGAAAAAATCTAATAATAATGGGCAAAAGATCTGAATGGACATTTCCCAAAGAAAACATACAAATGGCAGACAAGTATATAAAAAGGTGTTCAACATCATTAATCATAAGGAAAAATGCAAATCAAAACTACAATGAGATATCATTTCATTCCAGTTAAAATGGCTTTTATCCAAAACACAGGCAATAGCAAATTCTGGCAAGGATATGGAGAAAGGGGAGCCATGATAGACTGTTGGTGAGAATGTAAATTAGTACAGCCACTATGGAGAATAGTTCAGAGGTTCCTCAAAAAACTAAAAATAGAATTACCATATGATCAAGCAATCCCACTGCTAGCTATATACCCAAAACAAAGGAAATCAGTGTTTCATAGAAGAGATAACTGCATTTCAATGTTTATTACAGCGCTATTCACAATAGTCAAGATTTGCAAGCAATCTAAGTGTCCATCAACAGACAAGTAGATAAAGAAGATGTACATATTATATACAATGGAGTACTATGCAGCCATAAAAAAGAAATCCTGTCTCTGTAACAACATGGATGGAACTGAAAGACATTGTTAAGTGAAGTAAGCCAGGCACAGAAAGAAAAACTTCACATGTTCTCACTCATTTGTGGGAATTAAAAATTAAAACAATTGAACTCACGGAGATAGAGAATAGAATGATGGTTACCAGAGGTTTGGAAGAATGGAGGTGGTGGGAGTGGGTGGTGGGAAATGGGGAAGGCTAATAGGTACAAAATATAGTTATATACAATGAATAAGACCTAGTATTTGATAGCACAACAGGGTAACTAGTTAGCAGTAATCTGTTGTACATTTTAGAATAACTGAGAGAGTACAATTGGAATGTTTGTGACACAAAGAAATGATGAATGCTTAAGGTGATAGAAAACACATTTTTCTCTGTTGTGATTAGTAACATCATATGCCTGTAAAAAATATCTAATATACCCCATTAATATATACACCTACTATGTATCCATAATCATTTTTTAATTAAAAAGAAATCTCACTTAAAATTATTTTTCTATAGGAAGTCAGTTTCTTTCTTTTTTTTTGTTTTTTGAGACGGAGTCTCGCTCTGTGGCCCAGGCTGGAGTGCAGTGGCGCCATCTCGGCTCACTGCAAGCTCCGCCTCCTGGGTTCACGCCATTCTCCTGCCTCAGCCTCCCGAGTAGCTGGGACTACAGGCGCCCGCCACCACGCCTGGCTAATTTTTTGTATTTTTAGTAGAGACGGGGTTTCACCGTGTTAGCCAGGATGGTCTCGATCTCCTGACCTCGTGATCCACCCGCCTCGGCCTCCCAAAGTGCTGGGATTACAAGCGTGAGCCATCGCGCCCGGCTAGGAAGTCAGTTGCTTATGATGATAGACCTAATCAACACTTAGGTCCTTATTTTACCTTATAGCAAGATCATTGAATTGCCAAACAAGATTACCAGGTACGACTACCCCAGTATTACTTTTTAGAGTCAATGTGAAAAAACTATAATTTTATAATGAGTGAAAACCAGAATTCACTCATTTAATTAATATCTATGTAATTAAATGAAAACGCTGTTTTATTAAAAAGTAATTATTTCTAACATTTGCCCTGAAAAGTAAATGACCAGAATTTTCTTTGAGAAATAGGAATCTTTTGTGAAATTGTTGAAGACTCCCAAAGTCTCCTCAAGTTTAAAAAAGGCAATGCAGAATCTTGCTGAGGTTATTCCAAAGCATGTACAGATGACATCTGTAGGTTTAAACGCTAATTAAATAATATAATTTAAAACCTCGCACATGGTAACTAAATTATTCCCAGAATACTAGGTATAGAGGATTGCAAAATATTATCTACCCAGTACATTTTAAGACAATAAAAAAAGTTCAAATACAGAGTACACTCCTCAAAGAGATGATCTAACATGCAAATTGAAAAGTTTATTTTGAGACACATTTTATATATATGCTGCATAGGTTTTAGGTAAGGTTTACAACCATTGAGCCCAATTATCTTGTTCCAAAGCTAATATAAGTAAATAATAAATAAACCCTAAAAGGAAGAGTCTAAAAAGAATTTACATCAGTTCACTCTTCATTGAAAGCAACAGAAAATCTTCCCTGGGGCTTACATAAGGAAAACAATAAAACTGACTTGTTTTCGCAAACAAAGTAAAACACAGAATTAAAAAAAAAAAAAAAGAGGTTGAACACCTAGGTCTTAGGAAAGTAAAACACCAGGAAACTTTAGGAAACTTGGAGGCAGAAACTCATGAAGAATCTCTTTGGGTTTCCTCCTTATGATACATGAGTTCCAATTACTTTCTATCCTTGCATGAGAGTGCTTTGTATTCAAACTGCTGGGAAAGTATGTTTAGTCTAACCGCCTTAATCTAGATAGAGAATGCTTCATGGTTGACAGGCAGAATGTCACCAGGTAGAACATAGCAGTGTCTGTTCCCCAAAGAAAAAGCTAATTGCTTTTACTGGAAGGAGGGAAAAGAATTCTAGCAGGCCAAAAACACCAGAGCCCTCTTAGAAAGGCAACACAAGAATTTATTCTTCATTTTTTCCTCAATGGAGGTGTTTGCTGGACTTCAGTAGTGAGCAATATAGTAATATACAGTATATAGTAATATAGTTTGAGGATATATGGATATAGGGGAGTTGCTGGATGACAATAGTCTAGATGCCTTGGGAACACTGCATCTGAGGTTAGTGACCTCAGATGCGAATGCATACAAAAAGGAATGACCTAGAAGCATAAACCCCTCCCCACACTTGGACGGAAGAAAAGCTTTGTTATGCAAAGTTACATCTGATAGCAATTTTTTAAAACAATGAAAATCTGTTAAATATACTCATTACTAGAGTTTAATAATAAAATCCACCGATCGAAATGCTTTTTTCACTTTAATATGACTGATTTACTAGATGAAAGACATTCTATCTCTTTATGCATACTTGTTTCTACACAGAAATGCTGACTGAATCATTTGTACCATAAAGTACAAAAATGTGAGTCACTCAAATATCATATCTTAATGAAAGATACTACTGGTTTTAATAACATTTTTAAAATGGTAATATGTACAAATAGAAAGCTAAAAATTGTTAATAGAACAAACATGTATTTGGTAATTATTCTCCATCAAAAAGTGTTTTTGTAATAATATAGAGTACAAAGAAATAGTTATTTGCAGTTATAAACTTTGGATTGCATTTAAATGTGGGCCTATTTGCCTTTGACATCTTCACCACGTATAAAATCTGTGGGTTATTTTTGTCATACTAAACTACACTAAACCTAGTTTCTACGAAAGAAAAGTTTTCTTGATTTGACCTTTCTATATGTGGTTACTATAAAATATTATGTTTAAAATTATTTATTAAACTTATTGAGAACAGAGTTTATGATACATACTACTTTTTGGTTGAGTCTTTTCTAAGATAAAATACATTTGTACTATGTGTATAATATATTTTTAATTAATCAGTCCATCAATCAATAAGGAAATATTTTCCCTTGAGTTAGCAGGTAGTGAAAAAATATAAGTTTTGTATGTGATACCAACTCAAAAAGTGTTCAAATAAGATCAAGATGCTGAAACTTTTCAAATGATGATGATAAAAAAATGCATAGGCTTGGCCTCTCTCCAACAAAGCAGTATGGAATCATATCCAGACCAACCATAGACATCTTGGTAAAACCGACTGGATGTCAGAAGCGTAGCTGGTTCCAATGTGTAAATGTTGCATAGCCTATGCATTAAGTAGCTTTTTAGGAAACTTGACTCATATTACCCTGGACAACAACCTGCAGTTTAATTGGAGTAAACTTTTTATTTTTATTTTATTTTTAAGTTCAGGGGTACATGTGCAGGTTGTACAGGTTTGTTACATAGGTAAGCATGTGCCATGGTGGTAAACATATGTCATGGTGGTTTGCTACACAGATCTTTGACAAACCTGTCAAAACTAAGCAATGGAGAAAGGAGTCTGTATTTAATAAATGGTGCTAATAGAACTGCACCATTTTCTAGCCATATGCAGAAAATTGAAACTGGGCCCCTTCCTTATACCATATTCAAAAATAACTCAAGATGGATTAAAGACTAAAATGTGAAACTCAAAACTATAAAAATCCTATAAGAAAATCTAGGCAATACCAGTCAAGACATAGGCACAGGCAAATGTTTCGTGATGAAGATGCCAAAAGCAATTGCAACAAAAGCAAAAATTGACAAATGGGATCTAATTAAAGAACTTCTGGAGGAGCCAAGATGGCCGAATAGGAACAGCTCCGGTCTACAGCTCCCAGCGTGAGCGACGCAGAAGACGGTGATTTCTGCATTTCCATCTGAGGTACTGGGTTCATCTCACTAGGGAGTGCCAGACAGTGGGCGCAGGCCAGTGTGTGTGCGCACCGTGCGCGAGCCGAAGCAGGGCGAGGCATTGCCTCAACTGGGAAGCGCAAGGGGTCAGGGAGTTCCCTTTCCGAGTCAAAGAAAGGGGTGACGGACGCACCTGGAAAATCGGGTCACTCCCACCCGAATATTGCGCTTTTCAGACCGGATTAAGAAACGGCGCACCACGAGACTATATCCCACACCTGGCTCGGAGGGTCCTACGCCCACGGAATCTCGCTGATTGCTAGCACAGCAGTCTGAGATCAAACTGCAAGGCGGCAACGAGGCTGGGGGAGGGGCGCCCGCCATTGCCCAGGCTTGCTTAGGTAAACAAAGCAGCCGGGAAGCTCGAACTGGGTGGAGCCCACCACAGCTCAAGGAGGCCTGCCTGCCTCTGTAGGCTCCACCTCTGGGGGCAGGGCACAGACAAACAAAAAGACAGCAGTAACCTCTGCAGACTTAAGTGTCCCTGTCTGACAGCTTTGAAGAGAGCAGTGGTTCTCCCAGCACGCAGCTGGAGATCTGAGAACGGGCAGACTGCCTCCTCAAGTGGGTCCCTGACTCCTGACCCCCGAGCAGCCTAACTGGGAGGCACCCCCCAGCAGGGGCACACTGACACCTCACACGGCAGGGTATTCCAACAGACCTGCAGCTGAGGGTCCTGTCTGTTAGAAGGAAAACTAACAACCAGAAAGGACATCTACACCGAAAACCCATCTGTACATCACCATCATCAAAGACCAAAAGTAGATAAAACCACAAAGATGGGGAAAAAACAGAACAGAAAAACTGGAAACTCTAAAACGCAGAGCGCCTCTCCTCCTCCAAAGGAACGCAGTTCCTCACCAGCAACAGAACAAAGCTGGATGGAGAATGATTTTGACGAGCTGAGAGAAGAAGGCTTCAGACGATCAAATTACTCTGAGCTACGGGAGGACATTCAAACCAAAGGCAAAGAAGTTGAAAACTTTGAAAAAAATTTAGAAGAATGTATAACTAGAATAACCAATACAGAGAAGTGCTTAAAGGAGCTGATGGAGCTGAAAACCAAGGCTCAAGAACTACGTGAAGAATGCAGAAGCCTCAGGAGCCGATGCGATCAACTGGAAGAAAGGGTATCAGCAATGGAAGATGAAATGAATGAAATGAAGCGAGAAGGGAAGTTTAGAGAAAAAAGAATAAAAAGAAATGAGCAAAGCCTCCAAGAAATATGGGACTATGTGAAAAGACCAAATCTACGTCTGATTGGTGTACCTGAAAGTGATGTGGAGAATGGAACCAAGTTGGAAAACACTCTGCAGGATATTATCCAGGAGAACTTCCCCAATCTAGCAAGGCAGGCCAACGTTCAGATTCAGGAAATACAGAGAACGCCACAAAGATACTCCTCGAGAAGAGCAACTCCAAGACACATAATTGTCAGATTCACCAAAGTTGAAATGAAGGAAAAAATGTTAAGGGCAGCCAGAGAGAAAGGTCGGGTTACCCTCAAAGGAAAGCCCATCAGACTAACAGCGGATCTCTTGGCAGAAACCCTACAAGCCAGAAGAGAGTGGGGGCCAATATTCAACATTCTTAAAGAAAAGAATTTTCAACCCAGAATTTCATATCCAGCCAAACTAAGCTTCATAAGTGAAGGAGAAATAAAATACTTTATAGACAAGCAAATGTTGAGAGATTTTGTCACCACCAGGCCTGCCCTAAAAGAGCTCCTGAAGGAAGCGCTAAACATGGAAAGGAACAACCGGTACCAGCCGCTGCAAAATCATGCCAAAATGTAAAGACCATCGAGACTAGGAAGAAACTGCATCAACTAATGAGCAAAATCACCAGCTAACATCATAATGACAGGATCAAATTCACACATAACAATATTAACTTTAAATATAAATGGACTAAATTCTGCAATTAAAAGACACAGACTGGCAAGTTGGATAAAGAGTCAAGACCCATCAGTGTGCTGTATTCAGGAAACCCATCTCACGTGCAGAGACACACATAGGCTCAAAATAAAAGGATGGAGGAAGATCTACCAAGCCAATGGAAAACAAAAAAAGGCAGGGGTTGCAATCCTAGTCTCTGATAAAACAGACTTTAAACCAACAAAGATCAAAAGAGACAAAGAAGGCCATTACATAATGGTAAAGGGATCAATTCAACAAGAGGAGCTAACTATCCTAAATATTTATGCACCCAATACAGGAGCACCCAGATTCATAAAGCAAGTCCTGAGTGACCTACAAAGAGACTTAGACTCCCACACATTAATAATGGGAGACTTTAACACCCCACTGTCAACATTAGACAGATCAACGAGACAGAAAGTCAACAAGGATACCCAGGAATTGAACTCAGCTCTGCACCAAGCAGACCTAATAGACATCTACAGAACTCTCCACCCCAAATCAACAGAATATACATTTTTTTCAGCACCACACCACACCTATTCCAAAATTGACCACATAGTTGGAAGTAAAGCTCTCCTCAGCAAATGTAAAAGAACAGAAATTATAACAAACTATCTCTCAGACCACAGTGCAATCAAACTAGAACTCAGGATTAAGAATCTCACTGAAAGCCGCTCAACTACCTGGAAACTGAACAACCTGCTCCTGAATGACTACTGGGTACATAACGAAATGAAGGCAGAAATAAAGATGTTCTTTGAAACCAACGAGAACAAAGACACCACATACCAGAATCTCTGGGACGCATTCAAAGCAGTGTGTAGAGGGAAATTTATAGCACTAAATGCCTACAAGAGAAAGCAGGAAAGATCCAAAATTGACACCCTAACATCACAATTAAAAGAACTAGAAAAGCAAGAGCAAACACATTCAAAAGCTAGCAGAAGGCAAGAAATAACTAAAATCAGAGCAGAACTGAAGGAAATAGAGACACAAAAAACCCTTCAAAAAATCAATGAATCCAGGAGCTGGTTTTTTGAAAGGATCAACAAAATTGATAGACCGCTAGCAAGACTAATAAAGAAAAAAAGAGAGAAGAATCAAATAGACACAATAAAAAATGATAAAGGGGATATCACCACCGATCCCACAGAAATACAAACTACCATCAGAGAATACTACAAACACCTCTACGCAAATAAACTAGAAAATCTAGAAGAAATGGATACATTCCTCGACACATACACTCTCCCAAGACTAAACCAGGAAGAAGTTGAATCTCTGAATAGACCAATAACAGGCTCTGAAATTGTGGCAATAATCAATAGTTTACCAACCAAAAAGAGTCCAGGACCAGATGGATTCACAGCCGAATTCTACCAGAGGTACATGGAGGAACTGGTACCATTCCTTCTGAAACTATTCCAATCAATAGAAAAAGAGGGAATCCTCCCTAACTCATTTTATGAGGCCAGCATCATTCTGATACCAAAGCCGGGCAGAGACACAACCAAAAAAGAGAATTTTAGACCAATATCCTTGATGAACATTGATGCAAAAATCCTCAATAAAATACTGGCAAACCGAATCCAGCAGCACATCAAAAAGCTTATCCACCATGATCAAGTGGGCTTCATCCCTGGGATGCAAGGCTGGTTCAATATACGCAAATCAATAAATGTAATCCAGCATATAAACAGAACCAAAGACAAAAACCACATGATTATCTCAATAGATGCAGAAAAGGCCTTTGAAAAAATTCAACAACCCTTCATGCTAAAAACTCTCAATAAATTAGGTATTGATGGGACGTATTTCAAAATAATAAGAGCTATCTATGACAAACCCACAGCCAATATCATACTGAATGGGCAAAAACTGGAAGCATTCCCTTTGAAAACCGGCACAAGACAGGGATGCCCTCTCTCACCGCTCCTATTCAACATAGTGTTGGAAGTTCTGGCCAGGGCAATCAGGCAGGAGAAGGAAATAAAGGGTATTCAATTAGGAAAAGAGGAAGTCAAATTGTCCCTGTTTGCAGACGACATGATTGTTTATCTAGAAAACCCCATTGTCTCAGCCCAAAATCTCCTTAAGCTGATAAGCAACTTCAGCAAAGTCTCAGGATACAAAATCAGTGTACAAAAATCACAAGCATTCTTATACACCAACAACAGACAAACAGAGAGCCAAATCATGGGTGAACTCCCATTCACAATTGCTTCAAAGAGAATAAAATACCTAGGAATCCAACTTACAAGGGATGTGAAGGACCTCTTCAAGGAGAACTACAAACCACTGCTCAAGGAAATAAAAGAGGAGACAAACAAATGGAAGAACATTCCATGCTCATGGGTAGGAAGAATCAATATCGTGAAAATGGCCATACTGCCCAAGGTAATTTACAGATTCACTGCCATCCCCATCAAGCTACCAATGACTTTCTTCACAGAATTGGAAAAAACTACTTTAAAGTTCATATGGAACCAAAAAAGAGCCCGCATTGCCAAGTCAATCCTAAGCCAAAAGAACAAAGCTGGAGGCATCACACTACCTGACTTCAAACTATACTACAAGGCTACAGTAACCAAAACAGCATGGTACTGGTACCAAAACAGAGATATAGATCAATGGAACAGAACAGAGCCCTCAGAAATAATGCCGCATATCTACAACTATCTGATCTTTGACAAACCTGAGAAAAACAAGCAATGGGGAAAGGATTCCCTATTTAATAAATGGTGCTGGGAAAACTGGCTAGCCATATGTAGAAAGCTGAAACTGGATCCCTTCCTTACACCTTATACAAAAATCAATTCAAGATGGATTAAAGATTTAAACGTTAAACCTAAAACCATAAAAACCCTAGAAGAAAACCTAGGCATTACCATTCAGGACATAGGCGTGGGCAAGGACTTCATGTCCAAAACACCAAAAGCAATGGCAACAAAAGACAAAATTGACAAATGGGATCTAATTAAACTAAAGAGCTTCTGCACAGCAAAAGAAACTACCATCAGAGTGAACAGGCAACCTACAACATGGGAGAAAATTTTCGCAACCTACTCATCTGACAAAGGGCTAATATCCAGAATCTACAATGAACTCAAACAAATTTACAAGAAAAAAACAAACAACCCCATCAAAAAGTGGGCGAAGGACATGAACAGACACTTCTCAAAAGAAGACATTTATGCAGCCAAAAAACACAGAAGAAATGCTCATCATCACTGGCCATCAGAGAAATGCAAATCAAAACCACTATGAGATATCATCTCACACCAGTTAGAATGGCAATCATTAAAAAGTCAGGAAACAACAGGTGCTGGAGAGGATGCGGAGAAATAGGAACACTTTTACACTGTTGGTGGGACTGTAAACTAGTTCAACCATTGTGGAAGTCAGTGTGGTGATTCCTCAGGGATCTAGAACTAGAAATACCATTTGACCCAGCCATCCCATTACTGGGTATATACCCAAATGAGTATAAATCATGCTGCTATAAAGACACATGCACACGTATGTTTATTGCGGCACTATTCACAATAGCAAAGACTTGGAACCAACCCAAATGTCCAACAATGATAGACTGGATTAAGAAAATGTGGCACATATACACCATGGAATACTATGCAGCCATAAAAAATGATGAGTTCATATCCTTTGTAGGGACATGTATGAAATTGGAAACCATCATTCTCAGTAAACTATCGCAAGAACAAAAAACCAAACACCGCATATTCTCACTCATACGTGGGAATTGAACAATGAGATCACATGGACACAGGAAGGGGAATATCACACTCTGGGGACTGTGGTGGGGTCGGGGGAGGGGGGAGGGATAGCATTGGGAGATATACCTAATGCTAGATGACACATTAGTGGGTGCAGCGCACCAGCATGGCACATGTATACATATGTAACTAACCTGCACAATGTGCACATGTACCCTAAAACTTAGAGTATAATAAAAAAAAAAAAAAAAAAAAAAAAAAGAACTTCTGCACAGCAAAAGAAACTATCATCAGAATGAACAAATAACCTACAGAATGAGAGAAAATTTTTGCAGTCTATCCATCTCACAAAAGTCTAATATCCAGAGTCTATAAGGAACTTAAACAAACTTACAAGAAAAAAAAAATCTCATTCAAAAGTGGGCAAATAACATAAACAGACACTTCTCAAAAGAAAACATACATGTGGCCAACAAACATAGGAAGTAACTTTTTGTTTCCCTACCAAACTGAGCAAGGAGAGACTGGATTGCCTACAGCCAATATATGAATCAACATGTGACTTCTGTCAAAAAGCACCTCTTTTTTAAGACTAATCAACTTTTCATGAAAATGAAGGCCAAGATTGATAGGCAATGAGAATCAGTGTATTTTTTCCAAGCATAGGTATAGTCTTTTGACACTGATTACTTTTAATGGCCATCCATTCTCAGTGGTTCTTTGTGCCACTCAGGGTCACTCAGTGTCCTCCCCATAGATATATTTACATGAATGAATAAAAGGTCTCAGTGAGCATGGAGGAAAGCATCTAAGGATTAAAGTAGTCCTGGCATGTGGTCCCCAAGAAGGTATGGAGGAAGTGCCTCAGAAGTAATGCATTTTTATTCATTTATTTAGTAGCTGGTTTGTACTAGGAGCTGGGAATTCACAAATGATTGTTAAACTCTGTGCTCTTAAGGGTCGTCATCCTCTCTGCTTTACTACAATAAAAGTGGTCAGGATTAAGGAATGATGCTATGTACAAAAGAGAAGGGCTATTGATTTGGACATTTAATAATATTTTCTCAGTCTTCCTTATCAATGACACACATTCCCTCCCATCCCACATTATCTTCCTGAGCCACCGCATTGCCTAGACCTTCACAAAATATGGGTGGTAGGGAAGGGTGGATTTATGTGATTTGCCAGACTTTAGGAGTAAGACAGCTGGTATATCTAAAACCTGTAACAATTACTTGTATTATTTCTATGCCTTACCCAAAAACTTCTAATTGGCATGTTAGACTTGACCAAACAGATTAACAAACCATTCCATAACGATCGATCAGATTAATGCTAAGATAATTGGATTGTTTCATTAGAAGGGTCATAGGAATAGAGAGAGACCAATAAGATCCTATGTTTCTTGAATATGAGGCATTACATGAAAGAAATTACACCCAGCAGCATCTTCAAATTAGTATCAGTGTTCTATTGCTGAAACTAAGTCATAAAATATGTATATGCTAAATACCTAGTGAAAGGTAAAAAGAGAAATCAGGAAGCCATCCACTACTAAGGCAGCAGAATATAAATAAATCCCACTTGAATCACAAGTTTCTGTATCCCTTTTATTTCTTTTATAATTTATCAGATGTACCTCTCTCACCACCTGTGTTTCTCTACCTCTAAACAGGTAGAGAATGTTGCTTTCTCTTCTTTACATTTATTTTCTTCCTTTTTTTTTTTTTTTTGTCCTTTTTTGAGACAGAGCTTAGCTCTTGTTGCCCAGGCTGGAGTGCAGTGGTGCAATCTCAGCTCACTGCAACATCTGCCTCTCAGGTTCAAGCGATTCTCCTGCCTCAGGCTCCCGAGTAGCTGGGATTACAGGCATCGTCTGCCACCACACCCAACTAGTTTTTTGTATTTTTAGTAGGCCCGGGGTTTCACCATATTGGCCAGGCTGGTCTCGAACTCCTGACCTCAGGTAATCCACCTGCCTCAGCCTCCCAAAGTGCTGGGATTACAGGCTAGAGCCACCATGCCTGGCCGGTTTTTCTTCCTTTTTTTAAAAAAACAAACAAACGAACAAAAAAAAAACTTTACAAGAAATCCACTGCTTACTAACAGGAGCAATGACACAACTGCTTCTCTTATATTTGCTTCTGCACACATTCCTTTCAGGTGGAATGACTGTGGCTCTGTGCCATCTCGAAATCTACTGGTCTCTAAGCACAAACGAACATTCTCTTAAACTAATGAAATGAGTGGCAGGCAGGTAAGTGGAAGCAAAATTGCTTGTGGTAAATGTGGGTGGGCGGAAAATATTAGCTGCTTGATAGGTTTTTAAAAATGCTGTAATAATATTTTTCATGTAATTAATAGCGTGTGCAGAGCACCAGCAAAGGCTCAGAGGGATGCCCACAGAGTTCCACCGCAACCGTGCACAGAGGAGGAGGAGAATGCTCCCTACAGGTGAAAACTAGGCTAATACACAATGATTGAAGACTAAAGGTAACCTTGCACTCATAACTCCAAAAGACGCATTTGCCACAAGTCAGGCAGGAGTTATGTTTACTCTGCTGTAAGCCCCCAAAACCACTTTTGTTAATATTTATGTAGCTCACCTGTATCTCTGAAGATACATTGTTTTTTTTTAAGTACAGAAAGAGTGAGTGGGAAGTTATTAATATCCATTGCTGACAGTGATTGTCAAAATTCTTAAAAAAGTAAAGGATCAATTGAAAAGAAAATAATGTTAGATTTATGTAGTAAAATATTCACAAAGCTGCATGAAGAGTCTTTGGTTGGAGAAGCCTTGCTCTGAATCTACTTCGTAAGCTTCCTCTTAAAAATGACTGGTTTCAACAAGCTGTTTCAGTCAAATAGGCCAGTTAACCCCCAAATTCAAAGGAAAAAACAATATCTACAATCATGCTGGTCTGTTTGATGGGATTCACCAGCTATAAGTGTAAGATAAAAGAATAATTAGTGACCAAATGTTGTAATAAGATATGTTATAATAGAGATCATATGTCATATAACAAAAAATTCATCTAGGGTTGTTTCTAAGTCTTCCCTTTTTAAACTTTTAGAAAACAAGCAGCATTTTAAAAGATGGAATATAAAATTCATGGCTAAGAAGTTAGAATTTTACTTCACTGGAAAAGAAAGTTTATTTTTGGTAAATAGAAATGAGATTAACAAACATTCTAGAATGGGTATGAGGTAATTTGTATTATTTGAAGTACATAGGTAGATTTTAAGGACAATTCGAGAACAAAGCTTAAGACCTAATGTGTAGAAATTATAGAAGAAATAATTGTATTATGTTTATTGAAGGAAATTCACAGCTTTTCCATAAAGAAGAAAGCAAGAAAAAAAAAAAGAGAAGATTGATCCTGTGATATGAAGGCTTCAGCTAGGGGTTGTAAGGAATACAACAATAAATAAGACAGAGCTTCTGCCTACAAAGACCTTACAACCTACTGGTTGAGGCAGACAGATGCAGCAAACAGTTTTAATAGAAGGCTGAATGTGATACACATTGAGCAGTCAAGAGAAAAAATGTTATTTACAACACGGGCTGCAGTTTGAGCCACAACGATAGAAGTATTCCTTCCAAGGAGAGCATTGCTCTTACCTTCCAGAAAATATTTTTATGTAACTCTTCTGGCTGTGTCTCTTCTTCCCACTCTGGCAGGTCTATCAAAGAGAAGAGAGACCAAGAGATATAAAGTATAGAAATATGGGCTTGCCGTCTAGCCACTCTAGAATGAATAAGTTTAGAGGAGGGCACAGAGATTTAAAGAAAAGGAGGAAGAGGAGGGTCAACGGAGAAACAGGAAGTTACTAAAATTAGAGGTGTTAGTGAAAATAGAATGTTATTGACTGGAATTACGTCTCTCCCAAAAAATCCATACATTAACATCTCAACTCCCTCCCCTCCCAAACCTCCCCCAGCTCAGAATATAAATAACCATACATGGAGCTAAGTTCTTTAATGAAGTAATTAAGTTAAATGAGGCCTTTAATGTGGGCCCCTAATCCAACATGACTGCTGTCTTTATAAGGATGAGAAGAGCCACCAGTGGGGCGCATTCACAGAGAAACGGTCACATGATGAGGCAGCAAGAAGGCAAAAATTGCGAGCCAACAAGAGAGGCCTCAGAAGAATCCAACCCTGGTGCCGCCTTCATTTTAAACTTCCAACAACCCCAGAACTGTGGAAAAAAATTCTATTTTTTGTCTGTGGTATTTTGTTATGGCAACCCTAGCAAACTAATACACTGAGCAAACTAATACATTAAACAGAATATTAAAACGAACAAAACATACTGTTATTTTTAGTATGTGCTATAGTCTGTATCTATTTATTATCATTAAGCTTTTAAAAATTCTATGCACACAACAATTTTGTAGTTATAGTGTTTTGGGGAATAAAAGGGAAAAGATGTTTGAGGGAACATAAAACAGAAGACATCAGCTGTAAGGAAGGAGTCTATAAATATGTAATTAAGAATTCAACAAGAACAAGAATTTAGTAAAGCTAAGAGAAGAATGGGAGGATTCTAGAAAGATGATGGAGAAGGAAGCACCAGAAATCTGTCCCTTTACCAGATAACAGTTGTACTGGCAGAATCTGTCTGCTTAATTATTTTGGAACTCTAGAGTGTACTGAAGGCTTAGAAATTTCCGGGAAAGGCTTGAAGAGTAAATGGTGACTAATTTTGTCCAATCTCATCAATTAGCAGAGTAGTAGCTACCATTCACCCAACCCCCAGTGTCTTGGCAGGCAGTTGTACACATATTACCTAAGCAGCATGCACACATTTTGTGGGGAGTTGAGGGGAGGGTAAAAATGACCCTGCCATCCAAAATATCAGGGGTCTATGCACTGATCACTGACTGCTGCTTGCAGTCACAGAAGTGCAGACAAAGAGGTGCCATCCGTGGTTGTTGCATGTCCCCTCACGGGTGCAAGCTGAAATAGAGAACAGAAATATAACAGGGAAAATCAACAAAACCAGAAGTTGGTTCTTCAATAAGATCAACAACATTGACAAACTTTAGCTATAGATGGACTAAGAAAAAACAGAGAAAACTAAAATTACCGAAATCTGAAATAGAAGTGAGGACATCGCTACTGATTCAACATAAATAAAAAAGATTATAAGAGAGTACTGAGAAAATTGTATACCAGCAAATTGGATATTTCTAGAACCACAAAACCTACCAAAACTATGCCATAAATAAATAGAAAATCTGAATATATCTACAAGCAGTAAAGAGATTGGATCATAAATCAAAAATCTCTTGAAAACAACAGCCCAGTAACTGATGGCTTCACTGGTGAATGCTACCAAACATTTAAAGAACACTAATCCTTCTCAAACTTTTCCAAATATTTGAAGAGGAGGGAACATTCCCCTTACTTATTCATGAAGCTAGCATTACCCTGATATCAAAGCAGAAAAAGACACTGCAAGAAAAAAACTACAGACCGATATCCCTTATGAACATTGATGCAAATATCCTTAACAAAATACTGTAAAACTAAATTCAGCAGCATATGAAAGGATTATACACAATTACCAAATAGAATTTATTCCTGGAATAAAGGATGGTTTGAAACAAAAATTGATCAATGTAATATACACATTAACAAAATAAAGAGGAAAAAAAACACATTATCATCCCAATTTTTGCATTTGTCAGAATTCAACATCCTTTTACAACAAAAACAATCAACATACTAGTAACAGAAGAAAACTACCCCAACGTAAGAAAAGCCATATATGAAAAACCCATGGTGAACATCATAATCAATGGTGAAAGACTGAAAACTTTTCCTCTCAGATCAAGAACAAGGCAAGGGTGTGTGCTTTCATCACTTCTATTCAACATAATACTAAGCTCATCCACAGCAATTAGGCAAGAGAAAGAAATTAAGAGGAGTATCCAAATTGAAATGGAAAAAGTACATTTATCTCTCTTTGGAGATATATGATCTTCTCTATAGACTACTACAAAGATCACACACACACACCTGTTAGAACTAATAAATAATTTCAGCAAAGTAGTACACAAAATCAACGCACAAAATCAGTTACATTTCTATACACTAAAAATGAACAATCTGAAAAGAAATGTTTGGAAATAATTCAATTTATGAAAGCATCAAAAACAACAAAATACTTAGGAATAAACTTAATAATAAGAAAGATGTACAATAAAAACTATAAAACATTGCTGAAAGAAATTAAAGAAGTTATAAGTAAATGGAAAGACATCTCATGTTTACAGATTGAAAGACAACACTATTAAGATATCAATACTACCCAAAGTGAACTACTAGCTCGATACAATCCCAATCAAAATCCCAATGACATTTTTTGCAGGACTTCAAAACTTACTACATAGCTATAGTAATCAAAACAGTGCAGTAATAGCATAAAGACATATATAGGCCAATGGAATAAAATACAGAGCCCCAAAATAAAGCTTTGCCTGTATGATTAAATAATTTTCGACAAGGGTACCAAGACTATTCAATGGGGGAAAGGACAGTATTAACAAATGGTGCTGGGAAAACTGGATGTTGAAATTCAAATGAGCGAAGTTGGACCCTTACCTAACACCATATACAAAAATTAACTGAAAGTGAATAAGGGACCTAAATGTGAGATGTGAAACTGTAAAACTCTTAGAGAAAGACAGGGCAAATCACAACATTTGATGGCAATGATTTCTTGGATATGACACCAAAGGCACAGACAACAAAATAATAGACAAAAAAGGCAAGTTGAACTTTATAAAAGTTTTTACAAATGGCTCTGAAAGACACTATCAACAGAGTAAAAAGGCAATACACAGAATGTTAGAAAATATTTGCAAATACTATCATAAAAAGAATATTCAGAATATTAATTGAATATTGCCCTTATTAAAAAAAAATGGG
This sequence comes from Homo sapiens, assembly GCF_000001405.40. Lineage (NCBI taxonomy): Eukaryota > Metazoa > Chordata > Mammalia > Primates > Hominidae > Homo > Homo sapiens. Next base: position 116,372,719 of record NC_000003.12, read on the forward strand.
CAAAAGACTTGAATAGACATTTATCTAAAGAAGACACAGAAATTACTAATAAGCACAGGAAAAGATGCTCAACATCACTAATCATTAGGGAAAAGCAAATCAAAACTACAGTAGATGCCATCTCACACTCCTTATATAGCTGCTATTAAAAAAAAAAAAACAGAATATAACATGTGTTGGTGAAGAAGCAAATAAATTAAAACAATTTTGCACCGGTGGTAGGAATGTAAAATGGTACAGATGTTGTGGAATACCAACACCTGTACCATTTTACATTCTTACCACCAGTTTGGTAATTCCTCAAAAAATTGAAAATACACTTACCATATCATCCAGCAATTTCACTTCTAAGTATATTCAAAAAAATTGAAAGCATAATCTAAAAATATATTTGTATACCCACGTTAATAGCATTATTCACAACAGCTAAAACATGGAAGCAACCTAACTGCCCAGTGACAGATAAATAGATAAGCAAAACGTGTTTTTTATATATATGTATATATATATATATGCACACACACACATACACAATGAAATATGATTCAAACTTAAAAACAATATTTCTGACATATGGTACAACATGGATGAAACTTGAAGGCATTATGCTAAGTGAAATAAGCCATTATTCCACTTATATGAGGTATATAGAGTACTCATACTCATAAGGACGGAAAGTAGGATGGTGGCTTCTAGGAACTGGAAAGAAGAAGGAATGGGGAGTTATTTTCGAATGGGTATAGGGCTTAGTTTTAGAAGATGAAAGAATTATGGAGATGATAGTAGTGATGGTTGCACAGCAATATAAATGCACTAAATGCCAGCAAACTGTACATTTAAATATGCCTAAGACAGTAAATTTTGTTATATGCATATTATCATAATTTTTTAAAAATTGGAAAAAAGTTATGAGAAGTACCTAATTTCCCCAACTCTGCCCAGACCTACCAAAATGATGCCCTTGATATGTTTTGGAAATTTTGAAGAAGACTCTGAATGTCTTTGAATATATGGAATTGGAACTGAATAATTTTATTTGTATATTTAAGAAAAAAGGGATTCCAGTAGTGTGAGCAAATGGAAGGATCTGGATTCCCACACACCCCAAAGCAATAGTCTATAATCAATATTGAGGTTCATGGAGCTGTTGACTTTAGAGTTAGTTTCTCACATATCAAGGCAATGGAGAACATACTAGCTGAGTCAGCCAACATGATCAAAGACAGTATCTGCAAACCTCTTAAGAATCCCAGAGTCCATTACATAAAGCAAGTGAGAACATTCACATTTTATTATAATGACCTCTTCAGGGTCCTCCATGTAATGTACAGTTCAATGTTCCATCACTAATATCTTATATAAAAGAAAACGCCATCTATATGGTGCTCAAATTATGTGGTGAAAAAGGTCAGCAGTCAAGAGATTGAACTGTGGAATTCATTAACAATCACTTTTTAGAAAACATGATTAATACCTTGCAAGACACTGAAAATTTCTTTATTCTGCTGAGGATAGCAGTGATTCCATAGGCATTTTCAATAAAATCACATTCAGTTGTAATACAAGAAGAAGGTGTTCTTATATTGCATTCAAGAGACTTACTTTTTGCATGGAGACATTTGATTTTCATGAAACACTTTGAGAAAATTGGTAGGCATTTCCCATTCCATAAGAACGATGCCATTTGAAACTTAGTACCTCTCTCCTATGAGTTTTAATAAGCTTAATAAGTATTATGACAACATTAACTGCATTTTACTAATAATGAATTGAGATACTAAAAGATTGTGGCTGACTCCATGACACCAAGAATGTCAATCATATAGAGATGAAATCCAAAACCTGGTTAATCTGCACTTTACCTACTGGATTTCTGGTTGTGTTTTATTATCTCTGAATTGTACAGAATTTCAATTACGAAACAAAAAATACAATAGTGAATAATCAGTAAATCTTGTCAGCACTCACTTCTTATTTTTCAAAGCCACTATAACTGTCACTATTTCATTTATTGATGTATTTTTGGTGCCATCCAATCTCTACAATCATCCTACACATTTCTCTACAGGCTATGCAACTGACCCTAGACTCAAGAACTGAAAGATCACAAACTGAGCTCTCCTAGGACCCCAGAACATGAATTGCTACCAACAGAGATTCTGAGAATGAGGAAATGGTGATAAATATATTCCCTAGGTAAATAAACAATGGTTCAGTCAAGACTTAAGATGTCTTTCTTCCAGGCTGCATAGCTCCTTTAATCTTTCTCCTGCCTTGGGCCCAGGCACAAAAAAGAGTTGATTCCCTTTAATAAATAAGTCATCTACTTCACAGAGTTCATATCATGAGGAACGAATCAGAAAACATATGTGAAAATTGCTTTGAAGTCATGTTATGATTTTCAAATGCATGCTATTTTGTGTTCTTTGTCTATCATCACTATTATAATCATTATTATATGCTGACTAAGAGAAGAAAAGGTGGCTATTTCAACCACTGTTGGAAGAAAAGGACTGTAAACAGGGTTTCACGCTGAACATTTTTGGCTGCTGTTTGTTGCTGGGAAAGTATTGGAAAAAGAAAACAAACTGTTAATATTAAAAAACAGGCAAACTATTTTTTAAATTTTTTAAGTATATGCATCCATGAAATTTAGAAAATGTATTACTAGTCATATTCGATTAGAGAAAAAGGAATTTAGGAAGTTTTTTAAATTAGTAAAAAATAAAAATAATAAAAAATGAAACCCATAGCCTATCACCTAATGCTAAACACCACTAACATTTAATATTTTTTCCCACAGGATTTTTTTTATATGCTTGAGTTTGGTTTTATGCTACAAATGTCATAGTATACATAAAATATTGCATCCTTCCTTTTTACTCATTTTTTAACAAAAGTATTTTTGTTGTTTATAGTAACTACAGTGCTCAATGATAGATTTTATTTGTAATATCTATAAGATATTGTATTAACATTTACAGTTGAGGATCATAAAAATCATCCTGAAATTAAATGTTGAAAAGAAACTGAACATAATTGATAAAACTTACTTTGAATAATTCTGGATTTTTATTTTCATCATTCGACTCTCTTTAGTGTTTTTAAGATTAAAATCCATACATACTTTCCATGCATTGAAGTTTCATTTTGTATAAAAACACTTCAAAATGTAGACTTTTATGTAAACTGTACATCATTTATGACAATTTTCTTTGTAGGATTATAACTGTTGTGCATAATTTTACTCTGTATATAATTAACTTCTAATAATTTTTATTTGACTTCATCAATGCACTGCTTGCTAATATTCAGAGGCCTGCTCTGTAGTACAGCAGCATGAACTTTTCAGAACTTCAAGATAATTATTCAGAATAATGTCTGCCAACAAATGTTTGGAACACAATCTGTAAGTTGGAGAGGTGCTGCAGTTAGATATTTTGAGTCTTATCAATTCCTTATAAGGAATGCTCTTTGAATTCTGATAAATGCAATAAGGTGAAACAGCTACTGGGTCCATTAATTTTAAACAAGGATGATGAGATAATCTTGCATCTATTTATCTATTTCTCAAATACAAAAACTTTGTGTCTCTTATTTTGGATAAAAAATGTGATGGAAAAGGGATTCCTTCTTATTACAATAACAAAATATTTTACTTTCACAGGCCATACCAATGCTTGACTTCTTTCAAAAGCAGACAAAAACCAACAACAAAACCTCTTATATCAGGAGATTGCAGTGGGATTCAGGTTTATCCTTGAAACCCCACAAACACTTCAAGAAAGCCACAGTTTAATTCTTGCTATTGATGGTTCTTTGGGTTCATCCAAAGGAATAATATTTTTGTACTATTAATCTGTCTGTAAGCATTTTTTTCTTAGTGCAGTTTTTACATTTAACTAACAAGAGTAGTATTTTTTATTTATGTAACTGGATCTCTCCAGATTAGGTATTTTTTACTGATGCCAGAAGAGAACTTAAAAGAAGCTGAAGAAAGAAAACACATTTCAAAGACACCCCAGTGGGGATCAATTAGCACCTATAAATGTTTATATAATTCATCACTTACTGCCAAACTAATCTTTTTAAAACAGTTTTTTGTCAAATCAGAATCTTGTTCAATAACTTCTCCACAGATATTAAATAAATCCCAACTCGTAACTCTGTATTTTAAGACAGCCATCAACAAAATTTGTCTTATCTATTTGTACTACTACTAAGACAATTTCAATTAGTTTTTATTGAAATAAAAATACCCTCTCTTTTATTTCCCTCTTTATTCCCTCTTTTCTTCAGTCTACCAGTTCAAATACCATTTTATTTACCACATACACCTCACTATTTTTTTATTCTAATTTTTATTTTAAGTTCTGGGGTACATGTGCAGGATGTGCAGGTTTGTTACAAAGGTAAATGCGTGCCATGGTGGTTTGCTGCACCTATCAACCCATTACCTAGGTATCAAGCCCAGCATGCATTTGCTCTTTTTCCTAATGCTCTCCCTTCCCCAACCCCACCCTTCAACAGGCCCAAGTGTATGTTGTTCCCCTCCCTGTGTCCATGTGTTCTCATTGTTCAGCTCCCACTTATAAGTGAGAACATGTGGTGTTTGGTTTTCTGTTCTTGCGTTAGTTTGCTGAGGTTAATTGGCTTCCAGCTCCATACATGACCCTGCAAAGGACATAATCTCATTCCTTTTTATGGCAGCTTAGTATTCCATAATGTATATGTACCACATTTTCTTTATCCATTCCATCATTGATGGGCATTTGGGTTGATTCCATGTCTTTGCTATTTTGAATAGTGCTGCAATAAACATACACATGCATGTGTCTCTGTAATAGAACGATTTATGTTCCTTTGGATAGATACCTAGTAATTGGATTGCTGGGTTAAATGGTATTTGTTGTTCTAGATCTTTGCAAACTCAGTATTTATTGGTCAATGGCATACAATTTCTTCTAAGTCATGGCCGATTCACTGATTTTGTTTTCATGCTCTTCATGACTTCTAATAATATTGAAATCCCATGGAGCCCTTTATATATGTATATGTGTGTCAATAATACACAAACACACACACAATACTGGGAATTAGATAAGAAAAACATCATTGTTTCTTTTAACCAATTAGAAGACAGAAATACATACAGTTGGCCTGAAAATAACCAGTTAATTGGGAGCCAGAATTAGAGCCAGGATCTCAGTTTAGCATACTCCTCTGATAATACTTTGCCCCAGGCATCAGCATGGCTCTTCCACCTCAGTTTCTAGAAAGCAGAGCCATAGTCTGGCCTCAGTGCTTCAGGGAGCACCTAAACTTTAGAGTGACTTCCTCAAATTTTCTGTCTCCTTCTAGGGCTTAAACCTTGACAGAACTGTTTCTCTCCTTCACATTTTTCTCCAAACCTCTACTTTGTGTGGTTTTGACCACATGTTCACAAGAGCACCAAGGCTCATGACAATGGAAACAACCTAGGGTCCTGTGGCCATGCTCAGTTCCAGGTGAATGGTCAAGCTAATGGATTGTTCCTGGAAGCTGTTGTGGTATTTTTTTCAAGGGATCATCTCAGTCTGGTTTACCAGACTCTTGCTGGCACACTAATTTTAGGTGATTTTGCAACCCATATGGACAAAGCCTCCTGCAAAAAATAATTTCCCAGAGCCTACTCGCCTGAGGGGCAGTCTTTCTTTTGTAGGTATGAAGAGCAATGAGTAAAAACATCTCTCTCTCAAAGAGTTTAGGTTCCAGTGTAGAGAATCATTTAATATTATACATTTGTAGTACATTTTAGAAGTCATAAAGAGCTACACTGTATAGCAGTTTATTTGATCTTTACAAGAAATTAATTATTTCAACAAGTATTATTGATGGTCTTCTATGTCTTGGCACTGAAAATGCTGAGCATTTATAGATTTATGAAATAGATACTATTCCTGATGACATAAGACATACAGTGGTGAAGATACAAAGTTAAACTAATTACATAAATAGTTATTGCTTACAATTTTGAAAACTGAAGTAAGGTTGACATAAGAAACCTCTTACTCCACCTTCCTCCCAATTAGTGGACAACCTCACCTAGTCTATAAGGTAGATATGTCTATAAGATACATAAGATCAATTTCATTTTACAGCTGATTTAATTGAACTTCACAAAGTTAAATTGACCTTGGTCAAGGTCACACAGTGAGTAAAGGGCAGAAGTAATGCATGTCCCAGGATTTATGCTTGATCTGTTCTTTTTCCTATTGGTAATTGCTCAGAACACACACACACACACACACACACACACACACACACACACACACACGAGTCCTACCATGACAAATTGATTCTTGAGAACAGCATTTGTGAGTCTACGGGCATTCTGAATGCTGTTGTCTTTCAAGGTAAATGTTAAAGAAATAACAGTCACTATTAGTGAATAATTTAATTGTATTATTGACTATACATTGTATTGCTATGGTAATTGTAAATTAAAAAGATGATTATTTTTAATTAACCTAACAAAGATATAGTCGCATATGTTTTCAGTGTCATGCTGAGAATTAAAACAGACCACTGGGATAAAAAGTGATGGGGTAGCCAGAGCAGTTTCTCTGAGTAGGTGAGAAGGACAAGAAGAATCACGACTCTTAGAGATCCAGACATGGACATTTCAACAAGAGTACAGTTAGTTTGAGACATGGAGAGTAGAGTATATATTATTGGACATAAGGAAAGAGCCAGATCATGTGTGGTTTTTGATAGGCTGGGGCAGAAATGTCAATTTTAACAGCAATGGGAAGACTTTGAAGAGTTCTAAGCAGGGAAGTGACATGATCTGACCTATATTTCTGGAAGATTGCTCAGATCAAAATCTGTCGGGATCAAGTGGGCAGTTGGAATAGAAATAACAGCTGGGCCAACTGTAAATAGTATTTAAGAATCCTTTATAGGAAGTCAGAGGGTACAGAAGAAAAAAATATATATATTTATAGGACCAGAGGTGAAAACCATAAGAATCAGCATAATCAAAAAGATCTGTGGTAAGCAAGAGAGTGGAAATTAGAAGAAATATTTGAACAAGCAAGAGAAATAGTCAGACATGGATGACCTGATAAAAGACGCTTACTTACAGGCAAATGTAGGATTGAAAGATGGAAACTTAGTCATTGTCATAAACCCTTCATTTCACTCAGATCGCTTCTGTGTTTGGAATCTCTGATTTGGCAAACTATCTATAATCATGGGCTTTCCTATGTTTAAAATTCTATACCCTCAGACTCTTTCTAGAACACTACCATATACTGTGTAATAACATGATTTTGCTGAGAACAAGGACTTTAGATGCAGGCAGACCATGGTTTAAAATTCCATGCTACCCATTCAGGCCATATGAATGAGCTACTGACAACCTCACTGATTCATGGTTTTCCCATTGGTAAAAAAGGATTATCAATAGCATGTACCTCTTGGGTTGCTATAGGCGGCAAAAATTATAATCCATAGAAAGGGCTGAACATAGTATTTGGAGCGTATAGAGATACTGTGAGCTGTTTTTAATATTACTATTAGTTATATGTCAAAATAGAATTATAGAAATCTACTTTTAATGTTTCTCACATTAGCTGGCATATAATTGATTTATTGCTCATTAAAAGGTAGTATCTATTTAAGATCAGTGATATATAATTATGTCCTATATTTCCTTTATCTGTGTGCCTTTCTTTATCTTTATTTTTGTTGTTAATTTGATAAATAGAAGTTCCATAATCTCTACCCATTGTTGCCTGCCCACTTCACACTCCCTACCCCACTCCCCTGCCACTGGTACTTTCCTGAGGCAACCAATTTAACAGCCTCAGTATATGTTTTTCCTCATTATTTCTCCATTTTGTACAAACTACACAAATATACTGTGGAGTTTGTACTTACAAAGTGGGGCTCACACTATATAAAGAGCTCTATAACTTAATGCATTCTGGACATTCTTCCATATGAATAGATTACAATCTGATTCTTATCAATGACTGCAAAATATTTCATAATATGAATATATTACAGTATCTTCAAGCATTCTTCTATTGATGGGTATTTCTATTGGGTATAGCTTTGGTTTTTTTGTTTGTTTGCCTTGGTTTGGTTTACACTGTTACAAGTATTGCTATACTAAACACAGCATGAACTTATATACTTATGACTGATAGAATTAATTCATCAAAATTAGAAGCTAAATCAAAGGCTGCTGCTTCCTATGTTATATTCCTTACAGGTATATAATATATGCACATTAAAATGAATTCTGACAAAATGTATTTAGGTTTTCAGTCTTCATTGTCACTCATATGGAAAGAGGTATTTATTTTAAAAGAGATATTTACCCCCTCTTTTTGTTTGTTACTCCATTTTGGTTTTATCAGATCCAAATGAGAGAAAAATTTAATCTAGATCTAATAAATTGATGCTTGTTTTATAGAAAATATTTCCCTTTGTCTCTTCTGACTAAAAATTCTTTATTGCAAATATACAAGTTCAATGGATCATTAGACTGTCCAATGAAAAAGTTATTAACTACTTGAAATCTGGAACTATGTATTTGTGCATATACACGTATGTATTTGTGTGTATTATAATGTACATGAAAGATCATGTGGACTGGTTATTTCTTGACAAACTTTCCTCATTGAGGGTTGTATATGGAATGATGGGAATACAAATTATTTGCCAAAAATGAGTAAAACACCAGTATTATAAAGAGCATTCTCTATTACGTCCCACAGTAAAATATTTTTTTCCAGGGGAGTTATCAGTAATGCTATCTTAAAATGACAAGAGAAAAATGATTCACTCAACAAACCTTCAATTTTAGAATTACTTTTCAGAAACCTATCAGTTTTATAAGCTGGATACAACCTAGACAACAACATATATCTTGAGCCCTGATGAACTTTTGATAGAATTTAGAAATCTGCTACTTAGGGTTATGTTGCTTATTAGAGAGTGCATTCCTTCCACAAAATGAATCTTACTTTCATAAAGTTGACTACCGCAGAGACCACCTTTTAGATGTGGACTTTACTTATCTGGATATGTTAACATCCCCTCTTAGGAGCATCGGCATGTGAACATCAGTGTTCCAGTTGGCCTAAGTGTCTTAGGATCATACAATATGGACTTGATTCTAAGGGAGAGGTTGGAAAACTATGTTTTGGAGGCCAAATTTGACCATGGCTTGTTTTTGTACAGCGTTTGAGACAAAAAAATAGTTTTTATATTTGAAAAGGGTTGCAAAACATAAAAAGAACATATAGCTAAGAGAGGATGTGGAGAAACAGGAATACTTTTACACTTTTGGTTCAATAGTTCAACCATTGTGGAAGTCAGTGTGGCAAATTCCTCAAGGATCTAGAACTAGAAATACCATTTGACCCAGCCATCCCATTACTGGGTATATACCCAAAGGATTATAAATCATGCTGCTATAAAGACACATGCACACGTATGTTTTTGTGGAACTATTCACAATAGCAAATACTTGGAGCCAACCCAAATGTCCATCAATGGTAGACTGGATTAAGAAAATGTGGCACATATACACCATGGAATACTATGCAGCCATAAAAAAGGATGAGTTCATGTCCTTTGTAAGGACATGGATGAAGCTGGAAACCATCATTCTCAGCAAACTATCGCAAGGACAAAAAACCAAACACCTCATATTCTCACTCATAGGTGGGAATTGAACAATGAGAACACTTGGACACAGGAAGGGGAACATCACACACCGGGGCCTGTCATGGGGTCGGGGGAGGGGGGAGGGATAGCATTAGGAGATATACCTAATGTAAATGACAAGTTAATGGGTGCAGCACACCAACATGGCACATGCATACATATGTAACAAACCTGCACTTGTGCACATGTACCCTAGAACTTAAAGTATAATAAAAAAATAAAATAAAATATTTACTATCTGGTCTTTAATAGGAGAAGTTTGCTGACCTCTGATCTAAGGTCATGTTTACATATTTTTAAAAAATCTTTTAAAGTCCCCGAGTTTGTTACATGTTACAGCTTTTGTCTATTATGGGAGTAAAAGTTGCCTCCTTTCCTTATTTGACTTCAAGGTGAAAAAGGGCAAAGTGCCTTACGATGTTGGGTTGCATTTACTGAAAATATCTTCTGTAAACACACACAGAAGAACAGCCTTAAGATAAAGAATGCTTTCAAAAAGGAAATGTGTAAGGCAAAATTGTTCTGTCCATAAATGTTAATTTCCCTTTGCCTACTTTAGCTATTATCTGCCCAGCTATCCAGCTATCTCACTAGGATGTTGTAAACTGAGATAAAAAGGGATCTGAGCCCTTCACTACGTGCTATATTGATCCAAAGCATTGCTATGGTAATTTATTATTGAAGAGATTATAAATGAGAAACTCTTCTGCAAGAAAAACTACTCTAGGAGAAAGTTTGGAGGCAACAGTGTTACCTTGCTATGTATAATACTTTGAAGTATTTTTTCGTATCTGAAACCTCTATTTTCTACTCCCTCTTCTAAATCTCTATAGCAGGTGAGCTCCATTTTCTGTGTCATGGACTAACAGTAGCCACCTTGCTTGCTATATGCCCCATAGCTCAAAAGTAAATTTCCATGGTGATGAATAAACTTGAAGGAAAAAAAAATGGTACTATGGACAAAAACATTGAGTGGACATAAAAGGGAAATGTAGAATTCTATTATTTTAAAGCAATAAGTACATTATGCCTTATCTAGTTCTTTGTTACTATAAGGATAAAATGCCTTGCTCTGACAGTAGTGGACCAGGACCAGGTCCTAGGGCTCTTAAGTGCCTGTCCAGTATCCTCGTCATTACTTTTTGCAATAAAAATAAATGGAAATAGGATGAAAAGACAAAACATGGAGCTTGAAAAACAAGAAAACGAACGAAAAATGAAGTATGTAAGTACATGTTTAAAAGTTTATAGAAAATGACACACAGGATCTCCATGTGAGGAGAAATAGAAAAGTAGATATAAAGTATGTGACACACTGGCAATGTATGTTCTTATTCACCAATGCCAGGATTATCCCTAGTGAACTTGGGCCAAATTACCATGACAATAATTAGCTCTAGCACTTTGACAGATCATTATGAGAACATTAGCAGGGCATTAGTGAGCATTACCCATTTTTCACACATTGATTAGATGCCATAGTTGGCTCATTAGTGTATTGGTGTCTAACAGCTGCAATCTAACTAGTACTTTCCTCCTTCAGCTGAGATCTAAACCTACTAACCTCAGACCAAGCCATGTAAAGGGACTTTGTTAAACAAGTACATGCTCATTTCACTTGTTTAAGAAAAAAACTCATTAATCAAGCCAGAGAATTATTTGGCCTATCTCTGCTTGGCAATGAACAGTAATCTACCATCTTTCTCTGATTAAAATGACATGTTAAGCAATTTAGAAAAAAATACCACACCAGTATCCTCCACAATTTATCTGATTACTTCCTAGCCTGCTGCTACCTCACGTCTCAATTTGGGATGAGGTTACCTCTTTATTCTGAAGAATATTCTCATATTTTGACCATCTCATTCATCAATTGCTTTGGCTTCTGAAATCAGTAGCTTAGTTGTTCTCAACAGTCTGTACATTAGGATCACCTAAAAATATTTCATAGACACCCTATGATGCATGGCCTACATCTCAGCCCAATTGAATCAGAATTTTTGGAAGTGGGACCTGGGTATCCATATTGATTTATTTTCTTATGCTCACAGAGTGAGTCTGCAGCACACTGGGGGTTGAGAATTACTGTATTCTGAAACATATAATTAGACCCATTAGCCTAGGATACAGAGTGAGGTGGGATATATACAGTGATAAAGTTAACAAATCAGCTGGATTACTCCCAATATTGATGACAGATGGTGCATTGTTCTCAGTACATGCAAACGTTCTAAAAATTAGAAGCAGAGAAAAGGTAGCTTTGAGGAGGTGTTTCGTGATTTTTTTCCTTTTCTTGCATATCACCACCTGTCCACCCACACAGAAAACACATTTAATTTTGAGTCACATATTTTAATAGGTACAATTTTCTCACACTATTTTATAAGTAATTATGTTTTTCTAATTCAAAGCAGTCCAGCATGGATAACCAGGGCAAAGCTCTATGCTCCCTTTCTTACCTTTCACTTTCAAAAGCTGTATGTCAAAACAACACCGACTAGAATACGTGAAATGAATTATTGAGGTGCTGGGCACTAAGCAGTCACTGAGTCTAGCTGGATTATAGGACAAGCAGGGGTGCATGTAAGTTACTGAGCTTCACTCAGTCACAGGGTCAGAATCTAGCTCCTTTTATTTCCATAGGAAACTCAAGAAGGAATGAAAAAAAAAAACACAAAACCAAAGAGAAAGAAGGCGAAAAGGAAACGCTATGTTTATATGACTCTTTCCCTAAGAGTCTAAAAAGAGATTGAAATTAGGGAGAATTGAAATCAGCCACATCACCTTGGCCAAGATATTTCCCATATTCTGGATTCAGTTTCTATATACATCACTCGAGAAAGTTGGTTAAAATCCTTTAATTCTCAGCAAGCTTTAAAGTGTTATGATTCTATGAGACAACTTCTTAGAACACAAATAGTAAGGTGTACATAAGCTGACTTCAGCCATGTAAGGATGCCATGCAAGGATTTATTTTTTATTATTCCCACTATTTGAGAGCACTCTTAAAGATGCAAGGAAAACAGTAAATTGTAACTTCACAAGGGCCAAGTTGAATCTCAAATCCAAAGAGGCTGCTGTGTAGGGAATTTGAAGCCTATCCAGTCTCTACTTCAGTGTGATGTCCCTATTCTCTATGCATCTTTGCAAATTTAAGGATTCACAAAAGTCTCAGTCTATTATTATTAAGAGACTCATGATTATTAAGAGACTCTTGTAAGTCACCCTGTATTTTATTGGAATGTCTTTCCTTAATAGGTCTGCTTATTTTTAAATATCTATCTGTCTAGTTACCATTTGGGAAATTGAACACAACAGGCAATTTAAAAGATAATGAATGCTTTGAGTACTGTTTGGGGTAGTGTTTTATATAAGCCAAAGAAGATTAGCCTTTGTGGTGTTAGTAGGTATGTGTATATTAAAATTTTTGAGTTGTGTATAAAAGAAATAAAGCAAGGAATAGTTATTATTATTGACATTACTACTACTACTACTACTACTACTATTACAAATAACCACCATTTACAGAGTAACCATGGGCCAGAAACTGTGCTAATTACTTATGTATTATCTTATTTAATCCTCAAAAAACTTTGGGAAATTCTTACTATTATAACTTCATTATATAGATGATGAAACTAATTTTGAGAGATCACATGAATAGTAAAGCAGTAGAGGCAGGTTTGCAACCCAGATCTGCTTAAAAACCCTAAAGCTCCTAGTACATAGTAACTGCCAATAACACAATGGTTAAGATCACGGGATTGGAGTCAAAGGGGTATCTGAGAACCTCTTCTCTCTCCAATAGATCCTATATTCAGGTACAGAGCTAATTTTTCTGAATCCAGTTCTGACCAGAATTTTCTGATTAAAAGAAAATGCTCATGCCTTTATATCTCCTACCTCCAAAATTCAACCATCTCAGGCAGACATTCAAGGTACCCCACCATCTGGTCATAGTCTACATTGCCAGTCTTACTGCTCACTAATCCTCTACAGCATCCTAACACAGTCATATAGTACATATTCTTCTCTCTCTTTCTCTAAGAGAGATGGGGTTTTGCTCTGTTGCCCAGATTGGAGAACAGAGGTGCTATCCTAGCTCACCGAAGCCTCAGCCTCCTAGGCTCAAGCAGTCCTCATACCTCAGTCTCCCAAGTAGGTAGGAATGCAGACGCACATCACCACACTTGGATAACTTTCATATTTTTTATAGAGATGGTATCTTGCTATGCTGCCTAGGCTGGTCTCAAAGTCCTGGGCTTAAGTGACCCTCCTGCCTTGGCTTCCCACAATGCTGGGGTTACAGGTGTGAGCCACTGAACCTGGCCAGTACATTCTTTTCATTTAGGTAAGATGCCATTTTCCATCTGGAGCCTGCAGGGAAGCCTTAATGGAAGAAGCAACATTTAAACTGGATCTTGAAGGATGACTAGAATTTTGATAGATGGAGGCTGAAACAATGAAGGAGGAGAAGTAAACATCTGAGAAGATATGTCTGGTCAAATAAACTCATGGGCTAAGATACAGAAGAACAGAATATATTAGGACACAACGTTTATCTTATATAGAGAGTCAAGGACAACAGTGGCAATTACATTTAGAAATAAAATTTGGGATCACATGAGGGAGAACATGGATATCAGCCTAAGAAGTATTGACTTTATACTGTAAGCATATGTAACTAAAAAAGGTTTCTAATAATGTAGCATTGACAGGAGTAGCATTTAGATAGGAAAATTAATCAGGGTCTGGCACTCAGGATAAATGGAGAGGTAAAAATCTAGAACCAGAGTGACTGTTTAAGAAACTCAGGAGAGGCTCCAGGAATAAAGGTATATGGACAGAAAATGCCCAAGCCTGACTATTTATAATGTCCAGCATTATAAATAAGGAATCACTACAATTAGAACAATTTAGATATTCAATGTCAGATACAGAAGAGTCAGAGAACATCTAATATATACAGAGGTGTTCAGTAAATGTTAGTTGACAGGGTAAATGAGTTTAAGCATTCCAGAACCATAGTCCAAATATCACATGTACCCTAAAAATATGTGCAACTATGTATCAATAAAAAACTAACAAACAAAAACTAACAAAAAAACTTAGTCCAAAGGTTCCGTACACAAAAGACTGAATTGAAGCATGAAAGCAGTGTTTTAGGGTTCTCTTTCCCCCATGGAAAAGATGGTAAGTTGGGGTAAAGATGTGAGTATCTAAATGAGAAGGCAAACAACATCGGGATTTCCTAGTGAAAATAAAAAAATAATATAGAAACTGAAATTGAGTCACTGCCACATCATACATGCATATAGTTGTAGATACAGAAATAGCTATAGATTTGATGTAATTGAAAATATCTACTTTTGCCGGGCGCAGTATCTCACGCCTGTAATCCCAGCACTTTGGGAGGCTGAGGCGGGTGGATCACAAGGTCAGGAGATGGAGACCATCCTGGCTAACACGGTGAAACCCCGTCTCTACTAAAAATACAAAAAAGAAAAAAAAAATGAGTTGGGTGTGGTGGTGGGTGCCTGTAGTCCCAGCTACTCGGGAGGCTGAGGCAGGAGAATGGTGTGAACCTGGGAGGCGGAGCTTGTGTAAAAATAAAAGACCATAAGAATATACCCACATTTGAATTGGTGGTGGGGGCAAGTAGAGAGAGAGGGGCATTTTGGCCAAGAAAGGAACAGACATGCTGAAGATGGTGTAGTAGTGGAGCAAATATCACAGAAGCATGAAGAAAAAAAATGAGGCTACTTGACTGAGAAATTAGGAAGTCATTAGCAATATGCATACATTGACCCTATTTTTCAGATTTCAGAAAACCTTTTGGTTGATTCACCCAAAGGAAAAGGTGGAGGGAGTGATGTTGAGTGTTTTTTGTTTGTTTGTTTGTTTTAGCTTTTGATTCTCAATTGTTCTTGCCATTTTACAGCTCTGCTCAATTTACACCCAGAGCTGCCTCTATCACTCAAAGGCACATTACTCTGGAATTGACTGGATCTAACTAAAGGACCTTTCTAATTTCAGAAATCTTTCTTTAAATGAACATAAGGGCTCTAAAACGCACGAAAATATTTTACTAAATGCCAACAGAAAGCTCTGAGGAAGAAGAGGCAGATAGAATACACGCTGCATCTCTTTACTTCTTTTCCAAAGTGTTTGCCCAACAATTTGGGGAAGATTTGATTTTCAGCTTCACTGTCTTCTCTCTTTCTCTGCTCCTTATTCCCAATAAACAAAGTAAAGAGCCTGAAATATCCAAAATGTTCATTTGAAGATAATGCCAAAGTAATCTGGCAAAATATAACTATAGCTCTTTTCACCAATCCTATAATGTACATTGGGATCACAGTTCTGAAAGTTCTGGGCACAAGCACATTTGAAGGTAAATCAAGGCTGACGGCAGGCATCTTAAACAAACAAACAAACAAAAAGCAACAAAAACAACAAAAACGACAAGAACAAAGAAAAAGATGAGCCCAATAGAAAATAAATTGGCATTAAGAAATAGGAGGCCAGGCCAGAGAAAGAGGAGGTGCAATTGCAAATCTCCAGGAGAGCATTGCTATGCAAAAGCAAAAGGAACCAGTCAAGAAACCCAAGTTCTAATTGCAGATGTTACCTTTGTGTCTTGGAGGGATGGGAAAAAGGTTTTTAGCAGTCAGACAGGATGCTGAGACTTCTCTCCTGACCTTGGGCCAAGACAATCTGCTTTTTAACTGGAGGCAACTGTAATCCATTCTGTGAACAGATGGCATAGAGGAAAAAATGCAAACACAGGCTCTCTAGTGTCTCTTCCAAAAGCTAGCCTACCTCCAGCTGTGGTAGAATAGGCAAAAGATGATTTTTTTTTAAAAGGTGCTAGTCTGTATGGGAGAGTCGTGTTAAGAACAGAAAAGATGCTGTCTAACAGACTGATAGGCAGAGAGGACCTGCCTTGGCCACAGTGATGCTGGATAAATTTGTATTGCAATCATTTTTATATCAGTTATATCTCTTAACTCTTTTGGATCATCCATGATTTCCCCCTCCAAAACAGGCCTGTATTCCTTGTCCCTCTAATAATAACAAAACATTCTGGGTATTTCTCATTTGGACTACTTGAAAGCCAGAAACTTCATTGCTAAATTTGGTCAGATGATTTACTAATGCACGGCAGGGTCACAGGAAACGATGTAGCAAGAGAAAACCCTTCCCTGGATATAAATCAAAAGGAAAATACACATGCAAGAATGAATGCCCATGAAATGTCCAGTGGTGGATAGTATCAGCTTTGAACATGATGTTCATTTATCTTCTGTGTTGGAATCCTCTACTGACTTCTGAACCTAGAACATATTGACATCAATATAACTATCACTAATTCTGTGAAATTTTATTTTATTTAAAATAATAAAAAAGTAATATTAGACTTAATACAAACTCTAATTACTAAGAGAAGAATGTGAAGATTTTAGCCCAAGGAATGAGCACTCCCATAATTAACTCTTACTGCTGCATAATGTATAGTTAAACAAAGGGTGACAGTTTTAGCTGGAACATTAAATGTCCACCAGTTGTGAATGCTACAGATAGAAATTTCTGTAATGGGTGGCAACTTGGACTTGATTACCTCAGAAGGACCTTCCAGGTAAAAAAGTCAATGTATCTTCTATACTTAAATTATATATGTATGTATGTATACACACACACACACACACACACACACACACACATTTAGTTACATTCAGCAACATTCGTGGATAGCAACCTGGTGCCAAACATGCTTTGAAGGATCTAGGATTTTCAAAGATAAATAAAGACACCATAACCAAGACACTGTAAGCAGTGGGATATGTTTCACTTTGGAGACTAAAGGTGCCATAGTTTCATGATGAAATGAAAGCCAATTCTTCCCAGTTCAGTTAGAGAAGACTTCACATAGAAGGTAAAGCTTGAGCGGGATCTGCAAGAATGGGGGTTAGTTTACCAGGCAATCAAAAGACAGAGGTTAGTTAAGGGCATTCCAAAGAATAGTCAGGTATGAGAGCAAGGAAATGTATAACAGCATGGTGCAGTTGAGATAATGGAAGCAGTTCTGCAGAGTTGGAAAGGAATGCAAGTAGGCAATGGAAGAAAAGGCAAGGACCATTAGCTGGGCATGGTGGCATGCAACTGTAGTCCCAGCTACTCAGGAGGCTGAGGCATGAAAATTGCTTGAACCTGGGGATGGAGGTTGTAGTGAGCCCACATGACATTGACATTGCACCACTGTACTCCAGCCTGGGCAACAGAGTGAGACTCCGCCTCAAAAAAAAAAAAAAAAAAAAAAAAGGCAAGGAACGTGCTTACAGTAACAATAATATCCATATATTCTGCAGACAGTTGGGAGCCTATGAAGTGTCATTCCTTCTCAGGAGATTTTTGTCAGTGGTCTGCTCATATCCTTTCCAATCTCCTACCATTTTCATGTACACTGCCTTCCAGCGGGGTTCACTCAGAACAGCTGACACCTGAAAGTCTTTGTCAGTGGGCTCTCCTTGGGCTGCTGGTTTGTTCTAACAATATAGAGCTCCTCAAGTGAACAGGATTTAAATTTCCCTTAGAACATCTCTGTGGAGTTGAGCCAAAGTTGTCCACAGCAGGATTTTGCATCATATTGCACTCCCATTTGGGGTTCTTCCCATTGGTTATCAATTTTTCTACTTCTGTACTGATTTTTCCAGGGAATGATTCCGGGGAAATCACTTTGATAGTACTGATGTCAGCAGCGGACCGTCTGGAGCGGCTGCTGCCATCGCGCTGGCAGTAGCGGCAGGAGCAGCTGCGGGAGCAGCAGTGGCGGTGGTGGGACCCCTGTGCCCCGCCCCCCCCGTGCCCCATGTCCCCGAGGCCGCTGACTGCGCTGTCCCACCCTTGTGCAGCCAGGCAGGACCCACTCGCAGGCCAGGAACCTCTGCTGCTCCAGACCCTGGCCCTGCATCGCCACTCTCGCCTGCTGCTGCTGCGGGGAGGGCATGGGAAGGAGGCGGACAGTCTTTGGAGCCTGCCCCTGGGAGACTTCTGGAGCCCACCACCCTGGGGGCCACCACAGTGGGGTTGGGTGGAGGGTCGCTCACTAGCGGGGGAGCAGTATGACTGGGCAGGAAGCAGGGCGCGGGGGTGGCAAGGAGGGGCCCAGAGGCAGAGCTGAACCAGGGCAGTGCCACGTTTGTACTGATTTTTCCAGGGAATGATTCCGGGGAAATCACTTTGATAGTACTGATGGCAGCAGCAGACCGTCTGGAGCGGCTGGAGCATGGGGGCTGAGCCCGGGGTGAGAAATGGGAGCAGTGACTGGTGCCCACTTCAGGGATCCAGCCAGCAGTGTGGCCACTGCACTCACCCCCAACTGATGGTGTCGGTTTCTTGCGCCTTGGGAAGAGGCTTCTCTGCCTGGGAAGAGGTTCTCTGCCAGGCTGCCCAGGGCCACATCCTGAGGCCCACCCTCCATCAGGGTGACTGCCAACCCTGACACTCCAAATGGCCAGGCCCAGGGCTTCAATCCACTCCCAAAGGCACCCCATGGGCAGGGCCATGAGCCTGGTGATGGGGAGCCTTGGGCCACAGCATCCAGACCATGGAAAGAAATTGCGGAGATATCACACCTGCCCTGAAAGCCTGCCCAGGCCCAGCAAGAACCTGAAGCTCCCACACCAGGCTACAAAGAGGCATGGCCGGGGTACACATTCCACTGAGCCAGTGGGAGCTGGGGACAAGCGGGAGCCCTGCCCATTTTGAGTTGGTGGAGTGGGAACTCTCCAGGTGCAGCTACAGCCACCCTTCCACAGCTGCAGACTCAGGCATCTCTGCACTCTAGGGGGCCTGGGAAGGTCCTCCTACCTCCCACAGGCTGGAGGGTGTCTGCTCCCACTGCCTGGCTTCTCCCCACTGTTCACACTTGCTCCAATCTCAGAGTAAAGTCAGGGGCCAAGCCCAGGTGCTGCTGTCACAGCCCAGCTGGGGGTGCACACACTCACGGCAACGCTGACATGCCAGCTCCCTGCCACCTCAGCCTCCTCTGGACTTAGGGCACTGACAAGCACAGGAGAGAGGCTGAGGCGGTGCTGAGGACAGCCTGGTGCTGGCCTGAAGGTGCCCCTTGGCATGAAAAGCCTGGGCATCAGCAAGCAAGCTCCTGGGTGGAACCAGGTGGGTCCCTGGTGAAGCTCCACCTTCTGGTTGGGGAGGGTCTGAAATCAGGGGGCTGGGCTGCCAGTCCCATGGACCAGAGGGGAAACTTGTGGTGCTTTTCCCTGGGCCTGCCCATGGTCACCCATGGACCAATCAGCATACACTTCCTCTGAGGCTCATAAAAACCCAGGACTCAGCCAGACTTGAGCAGAGGATAGAGAGACAATGGGGAGATGACGGGATGACAAGCTACAGAGAGGAGCTGCCCATCCCAGGGTCTCCTCTCTGTTGAGAACTAAGGAAATGATGGGACAAGTTGCTGCAAAGAGGAACCACCCTCTCTGCTGAGAGCTGGACACTTGATGGGACACCTTGGCTATGGAGACAAGCTGCCCACTGGGGGTCTCCTCTGAGCTGTTCTATTGCTCAATAAATCTTCTCTTCATCTTGCTCACCCTCCACTTGTCTGCATATATCATGCTTCCAAGTCGCAGGACAAGAACTTGGGACCTGCTGAATGTCGAGGCTAAAAGAGCTGTAACACACACAAACAGAGCTAAAACATGCCCTTTGCCCATGACACTGTGGGCAAAGAGAAGGAGAGAAGAGCTGCAGCCCTTCAGAGAGCCCAGACCTAGGAACTCCCCAAGCCAGGGCTGTGACTCCCTCTTTGGGCCCCTGTGGTTCCTGGTATCTCCAAGTTTCTAGGCATCAGTGCATTCCCTGGTGCCAGCTGGGTAAACGGCTTGCAGTGCATCTGGTCTAGCTGCAGCCTCACAGAGAACCAGTGCCCGTTATGGCACCTGGAGCTGCCCTCCCTGAAGCAATAGCCAGTGCATCTGACAGTGCACAGTGCCTGGACCCCACGCTTGCTCACATACCCCTCACTGCCCCATGTCTGACTTACAGTCTCCCTTGGAGGTGTGGGACCCAGGCTGGTAGTGTGAGTCAAGTGCAGCCCACCAGGCTGAGTGGGTGGAATGAGCCCAGCAGGCCCGAACAAAAACTCAGGCAAAGACACCACTAACCACAGAGTTTTCTAGCCAGAAAAGCAGCACCCCAAAGATCCCATAACAATGCAATTCCTCATTTTAGGATCTACTTTTTAGGGATGTCCAATCTATGATATCCTTTTAACTTATAGATGTGAGCTATTAAAGTAAGTCTGTAGAGATAAGGTTTTATTGATAAACTAAATATAATGTTGTGATGAACTGGGAAATGTGTTTCTAACTAGCTTCTGGTATATTTCAAGGTTGGTGGCATTAAGAATAGATGAGATTATATATTTACACTATGTTTGCATGGAACGACAAGGAAGCGAGGATTTTGCTGCATCACTTACATTGAAGTACTGTTTTATGAATGAGTCTTTAGTTGGGACTGATTTTATTATGGCTGGAAGACCAGCGAATCTGCTCTTCTAACTCCAGTATTAGTGTTTTGTCCATATATCTAAGGCACCTGTTTTTGTTTCCTTTCTATATCTCTCTTTTTATTGTGGAAAGCTTGTGTTAACCCCACATGTATCGGGTTAGAGGACAATTAAGTAATGAGGTACTTTGTTCCACAGGCTAACATTCAGATTCTGTGTCCATCATCAGCATCTCCATAGTCCCAACCCAAACTCAACCTTATGGATATTTCACTGCATAAGAAGACTCAAATTTCTTATAGATGAAAGGCAACTAAATGAATGGTTTTTGATATAGATATGTAACATTATCTGTGATTATAATAACATTGAGATAATATTCATATAAGCCATTAATAGACCTTAATCCTGCCCTATTGCTCCCTCTGTTATCCCTGACCGAGGCCAATGAAGAATTCTGTCAACACACCTTGAGCCAGAGGAAAGCTTTTTTGACATTCTCTCCTGAAAAATGATACCTTCCTCCCACCTCCACACACACAAGTCCTTTCGTGTAACAGATGCCAACCTGCTATAATTTTGACTCATTAGAGCATGACTCAGACCAGCCCCCTCATTATGCTCACTTTCCAATTACTGGGACTGGACAATTTTACGCAGAAAGAAAAACCACACACTGAGATCCTTGATGCTTGATATCAAGTGACTTTTTATTCTGGCTGTGACTCTTTTCTCCTCCCAACTCCTTGCCCCATTCCTGCTTCCTCAATTTATTGAACTAATACGTGTTTTTCTTCCACATCTATTGGTAGAAGACACAATCTCTCAGCAAGTGTTAATATGTAAAATCTTTCCCCCTCACCTTTCATCTTTCCTTGATTATTAGCTTTTATAAGTGCTGTGGCTGTCGATACATAGTTGCATTTATGTAGACTGACGATGATTTAGCAAAGAGATTTCAAATCCACTTATTTTTAAATATTATCAAGAGCTGTGCACCAGCTTCCTACAAGGCAGGCCATCTCTGTGTTTTGCTCTCATTTCTACAGTTGTTTTCCCCTTTGCAACCACTGTTCCTCTCTATTTTTCATTTCTTCTATCATTCTATTTGGGTTTTTTCCCTTTTACTCTCACTACCTACCTTGCTTCACATGTAGTGACCTGTACATTCATTTCTTTTACTGGAAATGAAATAAGAACTTCAAAGGAGCATGAATAATCTCTCCTGTTTTAATAATTAAAGATGAATCCACCATAAAGCTTTCTCTGCCATTCCCAGTGTTCACATTAGATCGGAAATGGCATTTGTAGCCCCACAAGAAATAGAGTAGTTCCCACCCTGAGATGCACGGCACACAGCTCAGCTCTTCCCTGGATGAGCATGTTACCAATGAGTTTGTTTCAAAGTAAGTATAGCTTGAATATGGGAAGACAGGATTTGATAGTGTTTGATAATTCACAATTTAAGGGCTAAGGAAAGACGGCTTATTATTAAATGCAAATAAAACGAAATGAAGTCCGGCTGTCTGGGTGCAGATAGAAATTACACAAAGCTCATAAGCCACATTGGAGATCTTAACTACTAGACAGCACAGAGCTCTGGGAGTTGCAAGCAAGCACAAATCCTGTCTTTGAAGAGGACTGCACCCAGTATTATCTCTAGAGAAAGACTCAGATTGTACAGTCTGCTTGGAAAACTAAGGTGTGACTAGAAACAGGGCAAGTAAAGCCACTTCATGGAAGGGGAATATGTTTTGATTTTTAAAGTATTTCAACCTCTTTGGTTCCCATTGTTACTTTTCCCTTCTGTAGGATAGCATTTACTGGCCACAGAAAAATTGCCTATTTTCTTACAGGGTTGCCAGACAGCCTGCCTAGAGCAAAAAGATATATATTGCCCTTGACTATCCAAATATATAAAAATGATATGACAGCTTCATAATGGACAGAAGTGTGAACTCAAGGACACATTAATAATTTTATATCAATATTATTTAAATATTTTTGCTAGGTTGATTTATATTTTAAACCAGTGAAAGCTCTTCAAAAGCTATGGAATTATATTTTTTTGTTGTTTATTAATTAGGCTCCCAGGCTCTAATGGACAACATTTTGGAGGAAGTACTAAAGGTGGATTTATAAAACTGAATATATGCAATGTGGCTACCAGGCTGATTTACTGAAAACAATGCATTAATCTGTTATTCACTAACAAAAAATCTCTAAGAGAGTGATTTGTTTTATCAGATCAGTTTTCTTATGCAATTCTATCCTCTAAAATCTAATTTGAGACTTCCATACATACAGTTTTAGATGGGAGGAAAGAGCGTATCTATGTTTCAACAGTTTTGTGTTCTTACTTCTTCTGGGCCTGGGATTCGCCTCTTTTTTGTAACTACTAAAATTCAGCACCTGCTTCAAGTCCATTTCAAACCCCATCTTCTCTAAGGACCTTCCCCTGGATATCTATCTCCCATCTCTGAAGTGTTATGACACTTATTTTCTTCAGCACTCATTTTGGTACTCACATACTTTGTAAAAATACTACATCTACTGCTTTTCATTGCTTAATTACTTTCACTTATCTATTATATACAGCCAACAAACTATACATCTCTAGAAAGCAGAGATGGTATTTTAGAGCTACTTTATATTTCTATAGGATCTAGCAGTATATCCATTATATCTTCATCCTGGATATCTCCCTTGGACTCTAGACTTGTTTGTCTACTGTTCTACTCAGTGTTTTCCTGTGGGAGTCTAATAGACATATCAAACTTCTGATATCCAAACATAATGCTCAACCTTTTCCTCTCAAAATCTGTTCATTGTTTTCTCTAACTCAGTTTTTGGAAGCTCCGTTCTTCCAGTTGCTCAGGCCAAAATACCTTGGATTCATCTTTCTGTCATACTTCACATCCCATCCATCATGACATAATATCATTTCTATCATCAAAACAAATTCAAAATACGATCAATTCTTCCTCTTGTACCACTATAGCTTTTGTCCATGCTATCATGATTACAATGCCATCACAATATTCATCTAATTGGCCTTCTATTCTCAACATAAGAGCCAGGTTGTTCTTTGAAAACGTTAAGTCATCGTGTCACTCCTCTTCCCAAATGGCACTTATGGCTTCCCATTTCAGAGTAATTGTAAGTCTTAATAGGATAAGTGTTAAAGTCCTAACAGTAACCTATAAAGCTCTATAGACCTGACATTCACTTATCTCTTTGATTTCATGTATTTTCTCCACCACTCACTCCACTTTAGACATGTGGGCTAGAGAAATCTCCTTGCAATTCCTTGAATTCTCTAGGTAAGTTCCTGCCTCAAGGCCTTTTCACTTGCTGTTCTTTCAACCTAGAGTGCTTTTCCCTCAGCCTACCCTATTTAAAATACCCGCCCCCCCCCCACACACACATACACACACATAAACCTTTGAAAACCATATCCCTTTTCACTTAATTTTTGTTCTTCATAGTACTTATCACTATCTAACATAATATTTACTTATTTATTTATATTATTGTCTATCTCCCTACACTACAATGCAAGCTTCGTGAGGACTGAAATTTCTGTGTGTTTTGTTCATTACTTTAGTGCCCAGTGCTAGAATACTCCCAGGCAAGAAGTGAATGCTCAATAATTATTTCAACGAATGCACAAATGAAGAAATGAACAGCCTGGTAATATAGTCCTGCTGAAGTTCTTATAAAGTGAATATAGTAGAAAATAAATGGGAATTGCACTGAAAAAAATCTCAGAGGAAGGCACCACTCAGAGAAAGCACATTTTTCTTGTAGCACGAGTCATAGTATGTGTCCCACGTGGCCAGAAGTGGTAGGCTGTAGGCCAAGCTCAAGCCATTGGTTACCTGTGTAACCCCAGGAAAGGCCTGAAATTCTTCTTGCCTTGAGCACACATCTGTAAATTTGTTTTGATGCCTGCCTTCCACTTGAGTGCTTTTTATATTGTTTTGTAGATTTTTCTCATGCTGTCTTTTATGGGAATATTTAACTTCTAAAATAGGGTTGAATATACTTTTACATAGCATTCTGTATCTAGTAGTAGATATATGATACAGGATTGGTAAATGTGATAATTTCTACCATCCCAAAGTTTACTCTCTGTTGCAGAAAAGCAAATAAAAAAACTTCAAACCATAAATTTAAGACGTATAATAAAGACATAATTAGGATTTCTAATATTACTATACAGTCCTGAGCTCCACACTTGTATTCTCAGTACCTAACACTGCTTAGTTAGATAATAATATCTGTTCAATGAGCAAAAAGTAAAAATACACATAAAACACTGTGGAAAGTGAGTATTCGTTGAGAAAAGGAGAAATGAAGAGAGACTAAGATGATCATGTGTAATCAGAGACATCGCTTCTCTAATTGCTAAATCCCCAGTCCATAGGAGAGTATCTGGCTCCGTAGGTATTCAAATACTCATGAATCAACGGATAATTTGAATAACGTTGACCGATTAGCTGACAAAGCTCTATGAAGGATAGAGGTATTTAAGAATTCTTATTTGTTTTGATGAAATAGAAAGAGACGGTCCTTGGACTATGCAGCACCTAGACTACATGGGAAAATCACTTGAAGAATGAATGTGTTTGGAAAAGCATTAGAAAAGTGTATTTAGGGAGGGTGAGGAATATTCAGCTTCTAATTGGTAGAAGCATAAAAGAGTCTGTAATTTAGAAAATAAGTGTCTTGAATACATTGTCAGTATAATTGGGCCATTCATGTATTAAGAATCTATAGGTACCAGCCTGTGCACTAGATGCTAAAGATGAATAAGACTTCACTGTTCTCAACGAGTTGGCAGTCTTGTGAGGCAGAAACATGACAATATAAATGAATCCAATAAGAATCCAATAGACAGTGTTGAATGTAAAAGGATTACCTAACCAAGAGAACTGGTGGGTTAGGGAAAGCTTTCCAGAGGGAAAGAAAAGTGAGATAAAGACTGAGGAAAAGTTGGAGTTAGGCAGGGGAAAGATTGGAAGAACTGTGAAAGAGAAACTTGCACATTGAAAGGCATGGAAGAAGTTCAGTGTGATTACATTTCAAATGGACTGGAAAGCAAGAGAAGGTAGAGGTGGAAGGAGAAAGTAGGCAGAAAATGATTTAAAATAAGACTAGAGAGTTATGTAAGCAGGAGCAAGATTACAAAGGACTTGTTCATCTTTGGAAGACATTTTAATTTCATTCTAAGAATAATGGGGAGCAATTAAATAATTGTAAGAAAAGCCGTGATATGATTAGAGTAGAATCAACATTTAGAAAGCCATAACTACAAAATGTAGAATAGATTGGAGGGGCAACACAGAGCATTGAATACCATTGGAGGTGCTTTTAAAGATCTAAGCAAGAAATAATATGGGCCTGTGTATGGGTAGTAATAATGGGAGAGAAAATAAGAAGAAACAGAATTGAGATGTTAAGGAAGAGAGATGTTAAGTGAAATTGGCAGGGACACACTATAGAAAACACTGGCAAAGAGAGGAACGGTGATGCTGCAAAGTGGTTAGGATCAAACACAGAGGGGCAGCACCAAAAGTGGGCAATATAGAGAAATTTCTGTTGACTGATGGGATCACAGAGGTTTTGTCAATAAGCAGAGGTGGGGGCAGTTAGTGATAAAAATACTGTGCATGGGTCTTCCCTTTTGAGTCTGCAGGTTGAAGTCATATGCTCTGTGAAGTCAAGGAGAGAAAGAATTCCTTTTGATCCACAAGTTTATATCCCATTGAGCAAACGCTACTGACCAGCAGTCCAGAGGCTATGTGAATTGTCAACTCTGACATCTCATTGCACATCTACAAGCATAAACTTATCCGAATTCTGTCTTCAGCTCACTTATGTAGAAAGCATTTGCAAGACACAGCAAGAGACTGTATTCAGAGTGCTGGGTGTGTGTGTTTCTGAGCTTGGTGGCCAGAAGGAAAGAAAGGAAACAGAAAATCAAAGAAAAGTTGCAAAACTGATGTTTAAAAAACTCAGTTCTGGTATAAATATTTTTGTCTATGCTTCATTCCATCTGAACTACTCAGGAAATCTGAGGACTAAATATTAAGGCTACAGTAATACTTTCTACAAATCTAAAAAACCCCTAAATTTCCTTGATTCTCTCATATATACCAGGAGGAGCTAGCTGACTATTTTGTTCTTGCTTTGTACTATTAGGCTTTAGTTTTCTAATGAGGTTTCCCTTTTTTCTCACAGCTTTAGTCCACTAGATGGGCAAACATATCAACATTTGAGATAATCATTACACATCCAAAAAGTCATGTGCCTTCCATGGCTGGCTTGTCCACATCAGCACCACTTTGAGCCAAGTTTGATCTTTCTTTCCTCTTTCTTTCTTCCTTCCTTTTTTTTCTCTCTTTGTCTTTCTCTCTCTCTCTCCTTCTTTCCCTCCTTCCCTCCCTCCCTCCCTCCTTCCTTCCTTCCTTCCTTCCCTCCTTCCTTCCTTTTCTTTCTTTTCTTTCTTTCTTGAGGTGGAGTTTCCCTCTCGTCACCCAGGCTGGAGTACAATGGCACAATCTTAGCTCACTGCAACCTCTGCTACCCATGTTCAAGTGATTCTCTTGTCTCAGCCCCCAAGTAGCTGGAATTACAGGGAACTGCCACCACAACTTGTTAATTTTTGTATTTTTAGTAGGGACGGGGTTTCACCACGTTAGCCAGGCTGTTCTCAAACTCCTGACCTCAGGTGATCCACCCGCCTCGGCCTCCCAAAGTGCTGGGATTACAGCGTGAGCCACCACTCCCGGCCTGATCTTGTTTCTTTTAGATACCACTCTTGTTTGCTGAGTGCATTTTTTTCCACATTCTACCTTTTATTCCTTTTTCAGTAATGTTTGGTTGTACTGCTATTTATCTCTGCAGTGGTTTGGTTGTACTGCTATTGTGACCTGTGCATATATACTACCTACCACAGGATGGATCTACTAGCAAATAGTGTCCCACCTCTCTTTCAAAAGAATCATGTAAACTCAGATCCCAACAAGAGAAGACCCACTGATAATAGTGATGTTGTTCTGCTTTAGCTGCGTATTTTCCTAGGTAAACCCTGGCCTCCAGGACATCCAGGATATGAGCCAGATAAGGGCTAACAACAAACTATTGCTCACCTAATATCCCTCTGTACTTTACCATGTGCTGAATATCTCAGAGCTTCCATATAAAACCCCAGAGAGATTTATTAAAGAGAAACTTGTTGCCCAGGCTGTATTCAACATCTGGAATGATTTCTTTACATCATACTACAATCTCCCTTGGTGACATTTTTTTTTTCTGAGATAGGGTCTCACTCTGTTGCCAAGGCTGGAGTGCAGTGGCACAATCATTGCTCACTGTAGCCTAGACCTCCTGGGCTCAGGTGATCCTCCCACCTAAGCCTCCCAAGTAGCTGGAACTACAGGCACATGCCATCATGCCCAGCTAATCTTTGTATAATTTGTAGAGACAGGGTTTCACCATGTTGCCCAGACTGGTCTCAAACTCCTGCACTTAAGCCATCCACCTGCCTTAGCCTCCCAAAGTGCTGGGATTACAGGTGTGAGCCACTGCTCCTGGCTGTCCGTTGCTGACTTGATCATCCCTGCTAATCCTTCAAGACTCAAGTGTAATCTTCTCTTTCAGATTTTACCTGACCAGCTTCTGACTCTTTTTTTGCACAGAATCGGATTTATCTTCCTCAATTCACACAGCAGCTCATAGATACAATTAGTTCACTATTCATAGAGATAGACCAAGTTAAGGCTATATATGTTCTGTCATATAATATCATCAAATATATACATAAAGAGATATATACACATTTATTAAATTGCTTAAGTCAGTTCACTGTGTAGATTGTTATATTCTTGAGATGAAAGGCTAGGTCTTATGATTTTTGTGTTCTGACTGCCTAGTAGTACACTAGTAGGTAGTATTGGTAGGTAGATACTACATAAATTTTTAAGAAAATAATTAAACCACTTGCTATTTTATGAAGAATATTATTTCATGCTTCCATTATCCAACATAGCAACCCAAACTAGAAAATTCAGCCACTGTCATTTTCTAATAATACATTTCACTACACCATTGTGAAAAACATTTGGTGACTCACATCTCAAACTGTGAAATAGCTGATATTGTGCTATTTTAAAGTGATAATTTTGTATTTTATTTGCGATTTCACATGTTAGGGCTAAAGACCAATTTAGGCTAATATATCTGAAGAGTGAATAGACATTAGTACATCCATTCATTAAGGTATGATTTGCCATTTTATTATGATGAATAATCACTTTTCATTTAAGAAAGATCTTGACTTTTCCTGCAAACTGTTATCTTGTGAAACTGCTGAGGATAGGCCTGGCTAGGAAAGCAAAATGTGTACATGTTACTTATACCTGTGCCACTCTAATTTAAAAACAGCATATCTCAATATCTCAATCACCAACAGTAAGAAAATTTTTAAAAACATACAAACAAAAACTGCCAAGATCTTCATTCAAAGTCATTTTAATTGCTTATATAAATACAGACATAATTATAACCCTAAAAAGTATGCTAATAATTAATTCACTATTTATTGGCATTAAATAAGGTTAAGGCTGTATGTTTTTATACACACATATACAGACATACGTATACATCATCAAGCATATATATATGCGAGTATATGCACATAAATGACTGGGCTGATTTATTCAGAGTATGCACTATAACTGTCTTCAGTTTTAAAAGATAAATCTACTATACAAAATACTAGATGCAATAAAACCCCCATGTAATACAAAATACTAGATGCAGTAAAACCCCCCTTCTCAGCATTCTTTGCACTCTGTTATGACTCAATGGATATATGTGTGTTTTACCTGTGCAGTAAGCACATCTTTACACTGTCTAGTGAAAACCACTCTTGCCTTCAGGGAATGCTCCTCTGGAATCCACCTATGTTTCAAGTGGAAGCTGCCAAATTCCCTAGGTTTCTGGACTCAAGTGTTAGCATATAATCCAGATATGGCCAATCACTGTATCCTACTCCTCTGATCACAGTGATTAGTCCAGAGAGGTCATGAAATCTAAACCAAGTTAATCAGTCTTTCCGAACTTGTAGTCATAAAATAATTGATTGCCCAAAGTGGATTTTTTGAAAGTGAAATGGATGTTATTCACAGTTATGCTGGAACAAGAAGTTTGCAGACAGTGCCTTGGACAATAAACTAATGCTAATAGTAACCCTCTTCTGAGACTTTTCTACGTGGCATTTGCTTGAAAGTTTCCTTTTCTTTATAGTTAAAACTACATAATTGTGAATGTAAGCTCAATAATAAACAAGGTATTTCTATTTCCATAAAAATCACTGTGAATGTATTAAGATATTCATCTTAAGGGTTTGCTTTTGCATCTCTTATTTATTGAACACTTAAATATATACTACTGATGGTAGATTAATTTGGGAGATATTTGTGAACTTTTAAAGGACATTCTTAAAAAGAAAAAAAAAATCCCTTGGTAGAAATTTAACAAATCTACAACTTGAAGAGCATACATTAACTAAATCCAAATTAATAAAATTTAGCTAAAAGTCTAATTGAAATAATTCTGTGTGCTCTCAAAAATTTATGGGTTGAAATACATATGGGTTTATTATTTTACATATTTTCTCAAGATTTATGCAGTGAATGTGTCTCATACATGATTGATTAACCACACTAAAAGTTGCAAAATGTAGATTTGGCATAGAATCTTTTTTTTTTTTAAACAAAAAAAGGACAGGGTCACATTCTGTTGCCCAGGTTGGAGTGCAGGGGGGGTGATCATAGCTCCTGCAGCCTCAAATTCCTGGGCTCAAGCAATCCTCCAACCTTAGCCTTCTGAGCATCAGGGACTACAGGTGTGTACTACTACACTACCATGGCTACTTTTGTAATTTTTTTTTTTTAACCTAGAGACAGAGTCTCCCTATATTGCCCAGGCTGGTCTCAAACTCCTTACCTCAAGCAATCCTCCAGCCTTGGCCTCCCAAAGTCAGCTTAGAATTTTTTATATGTTAAAATAGGAGATTAAAGGGGGAAGTATTTTTCCCCTAAAGTTTTAATTCATAAAGAAATCAGAAAATAAAAACAAATCATGGTAAAAATTCACCATTTGAAATGTTACCATGTATTTTTAGATGCCAAAAATGGGTACAAATAGTCTATGTGATCCATGATTATATTGATTGCAAATTTTAGATTCAGTTGTAAATACAAAATCAAGTTTAAGGATCTATTTATTATGATCTAATAGAGAAAGTTAGAATTCTCTCTGTTTTTAATGCTTCAGAAAATATTACTTTTCCCCTGCTTTGGAAGGGTTTCTCATAAAGTAAAAATATGCCAGTTAGTACCAGACTGGCTTAAATAGATAGTTATAGTAAACTATAAGGCACTTCCTAGTTCCTTGCAAAGTGCCTTACATAGAATATATGCACAGAAGACATTCAAGAAATTAACAGATTAATGATGGATGGTGAATGGATGAATGTGGTGGGTAGACGAATGGACAGATGGGTGAATAAATGTAAATAAGTCGTAAAGTCAAAGGAAGACAGCCTGTCATTATTATTACAATGATAATGATGACAATAAAACTCTCTACAGATATACTATCTCACAAAGAAATACTATAATTTAATTTAATAAAACAGATGGCTTTTTCTCCTTGTTAGCCAACCTCAGACAGATCACATGATTCTAAGGTGACAAAATTGTTTTTTTGTGGTAAATATCAAAAGCCACACTCAGAATTTACAGGAGAAATATGGCTCATATTTTTTCCTAGAAATTTTCTTTCTCTTTTCTTCTGTATAGATATTCAAACATGTGACCAATTCTGTTTCTCTTCCTCTAAATGTCTCATTTTCTAGTCTCTGAGGTCAATGTAATAATGCACCTCAGGACTTGAGATATGTTAACATTGCACAAAACCAGGATTTATTGAAAAGGGGCAACTCAATGGGAAATTGGAATAAAAAGAGCCCAAAATCATTGGATTCAGAGGCTAAGAGTTTATTCATATTGGGCTATCTGTAAGTTTTAGGTAGTACGCAAGTAATATATTTGCTTCCTAGATATAGGCAGCTTGAAAAGATTCAAAAGAACAGGCATAGATGCATGGTACTGACCGCAATACTTCTGTGAGTAGGAGGCTGGAGTAATTTACCACTCTGAACAACAGGGCTGTCTGGGTTGCAGTTTGGGGGTGTCTCATTTCCTATTATGTTACACTATCAAAATTGCAGGAATTACACATGCTATGCCATTACCTTCTAGACAGACAAGCTGCTAAATTATTTCTATGAGGAACATGAGCTACTTACTTATCTTCCGGATAAGAACAGAAGACAAGTGGAGAGCATCTGGGAGACAGACAGTGTGAGAAACTTCTTTGTCTGGGTTGCAAAAATGCCACTCTGAGATGTTCTGTCTGACACACTGCTAGTAACAGTCACACTGGCAATATGAAATGCTTCCAATACGATAAATAGTTAAAGAGGAGATGTTGCATCTTGACTTTAAATGAACAACAAGAAAAAAACATGTAAAACTCCAAGCAGATGAGCAGTGTTGTGATCAACAGAAGCACTAAGTTATAAAATAAGAAAAAGGAAAGAAAAATAAGAAAGAGGAGAAAAGTTTTTAATGAGTCTCATGAATATTGAGATCTATAAGGCTCATTAGAGGTGCAATTGATTAATTATTTTTTGCAGATGCTGATATGGAATCCACAGATTTTGAAACCTGCCCATGATCATGCAGTTAGTTAATAACAGAGAAGTAGAATCCACCTTTCTGATCTGTTGGGAGGGAGGTATGTGTGAACCATAGTGGGAAGAAAGAGAAGTAACTACTTGAACATGGAAAAACCAGAAACAGGTAAGATTTTAGTTTCTCACTGGTGTATGAGCCTAGAAAATTATCTGGACTCTCAGCAAGAATTTTATAAAATTTCTAGTTGTTTCCTATATTCACTTTGCTGCAAATTCAAATGATATAATTTTTGCATAGCAGTTACATTTCTATCTTTTTTAATATTCTCTTTTAGCTCTGGTAAAAATCTGGACGTGTACATCTGCCAAAAAAATTAAAGGTCAACAAACAACATGGTATCTGAAATTCCTTTCTATTTTGAAGACTCACTTATTCGAGACTTGGGGAACTCTGAGGATGTACTGCATGAAGCAGTACAGGCCACAACCACCAATGCTGAATAAATTAGCATACAAAGAGAATTATCCAAACACCCAGCTCTTTCTATGTCTTGGAAATCATACCATAGATATAGGTTAAAGTTTATACTACCCAGTATAGCTTGGAATCAATAAGCAGCGTTAAAGCTTTATCATCAAAGAGTTTAAATTTTCAGAGGCATGGCTCTCTTTCAGGAGGCATGATATAATTATGAATCCTTTCTTGGTGATTTCCCTTTTGGTTATCCTCTCTGAGCCTCTTTTTTTACTCTGCTGTCTTACATTTGCTTCCTGCCTTTTTTATTTTTAATTGATATTTAAATCAAATACTTCCACTTAAACCTCACAATTTTTCTTTGCATCTTCTTCTCATCCTTTGATTAGGAATTGAGTAGAAAATGATTGCTATTGCAATAGAGAGAAAAAATGGCAAATTTGGAACAGCACTTCTATTTCTTTTTGAAAGCTTATCTCCTCCTGTTCTCCATGCACACAGCACCCCCATAATAACAAGTAAAAACTAAAATAAATGGTCACTTTTGACAGAACTAAGGTAGAACAAAATAAAGAGAGTAACAGGGAGACTGAGAGAAAAAAATAGCAAATAGGGCAGTAGAAAATGTAAGTATAAAGAAAAGGAAGAGGAGGCCTAGAAAGAGGTAAAAAGAGAAAGCGCAAAGGAAGAAATTATGGCAAGAAGAGAATGGAAAATAAAAAAGACAAGTGATGGCTCTTTTTAGTAATTCTTAAGCCACCTGTCTTTGATTCTCAAAGCATCTGCTGCAAGAGTATGAAGAAACTTTAACTTTCTGCCTTCACTAATTGAATTTTTTTAATTTAAATTTCAAGTTCTTTAAGAAGACTGATAAAAAAAATAGCCAAGCATATCTGTCTGTGAAGGGAACACACAGTACATTTTCATCAGTTCATAATCCATTTATGTATCCTTCTCTCTGTTCATCTTCCATCTACTTGTCTATACCCTATAATATATATACAGGTGTCTTTCCAAACATGCATCCATCAAACACCTATGTGAAGCAGATACAGAGAGAAGCCTAAAAGACTATTTTGAATAAAGCAGAAACAGTTATGTTATTAGAGGCAAAATGTGAAGGTAATTAAATAAAAGTCAAATTTAAATGACCTTTAGTTGATTCTCAATACTGATTATTGCAAATCTTAAATATAGATTCTCAATAGTAGTAAGGTTTTAAGGAACCCCTATGCCATTCCCCCCTATACCCACCAGTAAGGATACAGCAAGATTCTATTCTTCATCTTCAGGCCTTTGCAAGGAATGCTTATGTTAGGAAAAAGGTCTAAGTATAGCCTGAGGATGTGCATAAAAGCGAATGGTGACTTATGGAAGCAACCTTGGGGTTGTTCAATCTTAAGAAATTGTTGGTTATTGTTCATGTAGCAATCTTCATGACTATGGTACATGATTTGCATGCCTGATTTACCTTGTCATGGAAAATGATGAATTTGCATGTTAAAATTTGCAAGCTGAGCATGACAGGAACAATCTAGAGGCCAGTGTCTACTAAACCCAGCTTCCCATGTGGCCACTGACGGTATTTATTCTTAACTCCAGACCCAACTATCATTCACCAAGTGGACCAATTCTTGTGACAAGTGACAAGCCATAAGCTCCTACAAACAGAGTCAGGCTCTAACAAGTTTCATCCTATTTTATATAGTATTAAAATATACTATTATAGAACCATGATGAATAAGAAGGTACATCAGAGCCTAATGTAAGCTTATTAAGGAGTAGGCTTGAGGTAATCATCACACAAACTTCTTATCATAATACTTCCAATAAAATAAATAGGGACAAAACATGGACTCTGAGAAATATGTTCTTGGAGGAGATTGTAAAGAAAGATGCATCAAATACTATTAATGTTTTCCATCTTTACACATATCTATGTCATTTAAATTTTATGTAATGATTATATATTGCCTACAATTGGAAAATGTGATTTATATAAAAGCTACAGTTATAGTGAATGTTACTGTAAGTAAATAAATGGATAGATGAGACATTCATCAATGCTATGTGTTTGTTCTAAAAGTGCAGAAAGAATGTTTATTTTCATTCTTTGGAGAAATTAACTAAAATCAAAAATTTATTTGAAATTGACAAATCTACAGTGTGGAACTTCTGAAAATAAAATCTGAATGAAGAAGAATATTTAGCATTCTTATACTTTTGGCATTTTATTTTAGAAAGAAGCAGTGGGTATTAAATTGAGTTTTCCTGCCTAGCAACTTAATCACACCTGAATGACTGGTACAATCTTTCAATTTACACTCAACACATTGAAAAACATCCAGTCTTAACTATGGGCAGAGTAAAAATAGGCATGTAATCCTCATAGCCACCGTGCATGATAGATACTATTTTCCTCCATTTAACAGGCTCGGAGAAGCTAGAGAGATTGCACAATATCTCAGAGCTAGTTAATGGCTGAGTCTATCTAACTCCAAAGTCAATGCTTTTCTGTCACACCAAGAGAATAATAACTACATAAAAACATAAGAACTGGAAGTTTGAAAATGAGTTGGCTTACTGATTGTCAGATACACAATGACTATAAAGCATAAACCCTTCTTTGCTTTAGTTGTACATATGGTCTTTCTCACAAGGAATTCCTCATTAAGTATGTGGTCCAGTGCCTACCCATGCGGACTGCAGTCAGGAGATATACGTTCTATTCCTTGCTGTTGCGTCATTGTGCAGAAACAGAAAAAGTGATTTGCCCTTTTTCTACATTGGTTTCCCCATCTGAGCACCAGAGATCATATTGGCTCCTAGTTGCCTGGGAGGGGTGTTGGGAGTGCTAAAAAGTGTCTATCATGTGTAAAGCTCTCCAGATTTCTTGAATGAGAGAGGGTTATCATTGACATTGTTATGAGACACAGTAAAAGTTTAACTACCAGCTGTTTGTTTAAGCATTTTCCCTCTGCATCCATCAGGGATGATGTAAGTCTGGTGTGGGCAAAGTGTAGTTTCCAGCCCAAATTTGGCACAGAGATGCTTTAGGATGACTTCAGTCATCTTCCTCTTTACTGCTGAGGGACATCTCAAGGAGATGAAACATGTCTTTTTGTAAGGTCTTTTTCTGATCAGTACTGCCAAGCTGCTTTGCATGATGGGATCTGTAGTTTTCACTCATCCCATTTCCCTTTTAAAGATGAAAATAAAGGTAACCTGCTCCAATTTATACCTATAAGAAATTGCACTCATGACCTGAGGAAGTCAGAACAACTGGTAGAATCTGCCCCCTGCAATCCATTCTTTAAAAATAGCACTAATGGCGACTGGAAGGGTGAGCCATAGATCCATCGTAATGCTGATGACATTGGCTAGCTCTGAGGCACTTCTCCTGCTATCATTTAATTACTCCATATTAACGTATAAATACAAGGAGACACAACCGAATATGAGGTAAGTAGAGAAAGAGCTGTGCTTATTTAGTTAATAATTAATTACTAGAAATATTAAACAGTGGGACATTAACCACTTGCCCTTTTAAATGGTAATAAATAGCAGACATACGTCTAATTAAGGAGCTGTAAATACTTTGGAGGAGCTGAATTGAAGAAGAAAGATGCTTATTTACGGAGGCATGCTGAAGGAAAAAGAGAATTATTGGCACGTTTAGAGCCAGCTCTCCCACTACGTGTCTGCTCAGATTCCTAACTCTGCCTCCTCTGCCACGACATTTCTCACTGAGGCTAGTGCCACAGGGAAGAGGACTCACAGGATTCCCTTAAGTGTTTTGTTTGTTTGTTTCAAGAACAGTCCTTTAGTTTACCTCAGGTGAATCTCACTTTCCCATCCTTTCTGAGTTTTCATTATGAGGATACAATTTTCAGCACATTAAGATAATTTCTGCTGTTTTTCGTAAATCTCTATATAGCACCTCAATCACGACTCTAAGTGATAAGATTCTTGGCACTCTTCATAGACAGTTATACCGAATAGGGGGGACAGAATTTTTTTTATAAGACTCCTGATTCTTGACCTCACTAAATAGAGGCTTAAATATTGAAATGACAAGGGGAGCTCAGAAAAGGGATTTTTGAACAAAACCTCCAGTGTCATGTTATTCTAATGGACTCTGGTGAAGCTGAAGGACACTGCACAGCAGAAGGATTAACATTAGAGGAAGCTCCATCACCTGCTAGAATCCACCTCTAAAAGCAACTGCTAGTTTTAAAAATCTTTTGTAGGATTACCTAATTAGCCATTTTTTTTTTAAACTGGGAACAAACTTCCTTTGCTTTCTTCTATTTCTAGCTTCTATTTTAAAACACCTCCTTAACTTCTTTTCTTACGAAAACTTTTCATAGCAAAATTCAGGTCACAGAAATAATACATGGTCAGACAAGTACACAATGGTTGTCCTTTGGTTCATCCATGAAACTCTATGATGCTTCCTAGAATTCTTTTCCTAGAGATCCAACCCCATAGCCACATCAGGTCTCTCCTCTTCATTCCTTGCCCATCAAGCTCAGTAACTCGCCAGGAGAGATGGAATTTTTCAGCTGTCCTTTCTCTGGTCTAACTTGTACCTCCAAAGCATAAGCAGAAAATGTTACATAATGGCTTTTTCACTTTTTCATAGGGTCTTCTTTTTTGCGAACGGAGGGGTCAGCCTCTCCTATAGCAGCTCTATTTCTCCAGGCCATAGGTGGCTGGCTATAATCTTATTGCTGTGGTTTGAATGTTCCCTGCAAAACTTGTGTTGAAATTTAATCGTAACAGTATTAAGAGGTGGGACGCTCACCAGCACTGGCCATCAGAGAAATGCAAATTCAAACCACAATGAGATATCATCTCACACCAGTTAGAATGGCAATCATTAAAAAGTCAGGAAACAACAGGTGCTGGAGAGGATGTGGAGAAATAAGAACACTTTTACACTGTTGGTGGGACTGTAAACTAGTTCAACCATTGTGGAAGTCAGTATGGCGATGCCTCAGGGATCTAGAACTAGAAATACCATTTGACCCAGCCATCCCATTACT
This sequence comes from Homo sapiens, assembly GCF_000001405.40. Classification (NCBI taxonomy): domain Eukaryota; kingdom Metazoa; phylum Chordata; class Mammalia; order Primates; family Hominidae; genus Homo; species Homo sapiens. Next base: position 116,411,274 of record NC_000003.12, read on the forward strand.
GGGTATATACCCAAAGGACTATAAATCATGCTGCTGTAAAGACACATGCACACGTATGTTTAGTGCGGCACTATCCACAATAGCAAAGACTTGGAACCAACCCAAATGTCCAACAATGATAGACTGGATTAAGAAAATGTGGCACATAGACACCATGGAATACTATGCAGCCATAAAAAATGATGAGTTCATGTCCTTTGTAGGGACATGGATGAAATTGGAAATCATCATTCTCAGTAAACTATCACAAGGACAAAAAACCAAACACCGCATGTTCTCACTCATAGGTGGAAACTGAACAATGAGAACACACAGACACAGGAAGGGGAACATCTCACTCTGGGGACTGTTGTGGGGTGGGGGGAGGGGGGAGGGATAGCATTAGGAGATACACCTAATGCTAAATGACGAGTTAATGGGTGCAGCACACCAGCATGGCACATGTATACATATGTAACTAACCTGCACATTGTGCACATGTACCCTAAAACTTAAAGTATAATAATAATAAAAGAAGAAAAAAAAAAAGAGGTGGGACCTTTAAGAGGTGATTAGGTCATGAGGGCTCTGACTTCATGAATGGATTAATGCTGTTATTGCCAGAGAGGGTTAATTATTGAGGGAGTGGGATCCTGAAAAAAGGATAAGTTTGACCCCCATTTCTCTGTCTTGTATGCTTACTTCTGCCTTTTGCCATGGAACAACCACTCACCAGATGCTGGTGCCATGCTCTTGCATTTCTCAGCCTCAAGAACTGTGAGCAAAACAAACTGTTCTTATTAAATACCTGTGGTAGTCCATTATATCAAGAGAAAGCGGACTAAGGCAGTTATATTGCTGATACCATTATTACCACTAATTCTGCTTCCCTGAAACTATTCCTCCTCAGGGACTTCAATGGACACAGGTGGAAACTGTAATTATTCATACATGATTATTATACCCAATAGCCAGAATGAACATGGACATGTATGAAATGAACAGAAAGGCAAAGCAATAGATTAGATTGAGTTAAAAAGATCTGTTCTCTAGAAAGCATCACAGAGGATTCTCTTGGTTCTCTCTGTCTGGAACTCCTGAAAAACATTCAGTCTCACTATGCAGGTTCCCACATCAAAGGCATTATAAAAACATGCTTTACTCATGATTCTTTCTACATCTCTGATCACTCACTTGAACTCTCTTCCCCCTCTATAAGAAATGTTTTGAGAAATCAAGGACCTAGGTCAATGAAAATAGGTTTTTAATGAGAAAATAAGCCATCTACCAAGCAAGAATTAAACAAGTACTGACAGCAAGTTCGTAGTTTAGAAGCATCTTCAGAAATCATGAATTACATTGCATTTGAGCTTGGGTCGAAGAAAGCTGTCACATCAACAGTCTAAAGAAATACTAATCCCCAAATTCTTTTAAAATGGGGGATTTTATTGTTTAATGTTATTATTTAACATCGTTATGGTTTGGTGACTTTCTGAACCTTTCAAAAAAATGAGATAAACCTAAACATCAAAAAGAAAATTGAGAGTCCTTTACTTCCTGAGAATAAATCTGAGATGGCAGCATCAGTATAGTATTGGAAAGAAAGCAGACATTAACTCTTTGAAGTTAATTATTTTTTTCCATTTACCAGGCAGAAAACAATAAAGACACTAAATACTCACTAAATCACTGCTGTAGCCAGATGCTGTTCACCATCAGCATTTGGCTACCACAGTGATTCTCAAAATGTGGTTTCTTAGACCAGCCACGACTTCACCTGGGAACTTGTTAGATATATAAATTATTGGGTTCCACCTAGCAATCCATTTTTAACACATCTTCCAGGTGATTCTGATGTAAAGTTTGATAATCAATGGCTTATAATGATATCAGCAACCCTAAGATTATACCATTAAAACCACAAATTTCTTGTAAAGAAAATTACAAATGACTTCAAACTAATCATGCTTTAAGCATACTTTTCATGACATTATATATATATATATATCATATTTCTGTATTTCATTAAAATAAATCAGGTTATTCAAAAGAATAAGCTACTTGGAAATCCTGAAAACTACCTAAATGCCTAATAAAATAACATTAAAAACCAAATAACACTTTCTCATTTATTAAGGACCTATTTTATGTTAAGCACTGTCCTAGTCTTTGCAGATATTCTATATAATCCTTAAAATATTTATACAAGATGCTCAAAGGCTCTCCCCGTATGTTTGTGTGCCTTCTACTTGCTTGCCACAAGGGGTGGAAAGGTTTAATTTGACTGTTCATAGCCTAGATACTCACTTAACCCAATGATTCAGTCACCATGAGCAAAGGTACTATACTTTAAATTGAATCAGCACCAAAGTCCTGTATTTTCTCATCCACTGGTTCCTATGCACATGCAGCAGGCGGAGAAAGGCCACTCTGCATCAAAGGGTATGGGTACAAATTATCCACAGAAAAAGTCTCAGATACCAATTGTAGTTCAGGGCTTCCTGTATACAGTAAACAAAGAGAAAAATTCAAGAGAAAGAACATCCAGTGACAGAAGCAAAAGTCTTCCTAGCATATTGGTGGTTCTGGTAAGGACAAGAAAGGACAAGAAAGTTGAAAACAGTCACCTGGTAGTCTCACAGAAAATTACAAAAAAAAAAACAAACCAAAAAAACAGGAAACTGCTTTTTGCAATCAGTCCTTTTTGTCCCTTTACCCTAATGCATGTCTCTAATAGTTAATCAATTCTAAGAAGGTGGAAAAGGAAGGAGGCAGGAAAGGCGGCTGGATGAAAATATCCAATTGAAGGAATGGACATTATTTGTTTTAAACAGCACTTCCTGCATCTTTAAGCAGGCTGTTGTACACTGTCAGATCATTACACCAACTTTCATTTTGGGGAATTTATATTTTTGGAGGGTAAATTTTATACCTCATCTGGGGATCATTATTACTGCAAAAATGGCAGAAGTCTTCACTACAGGAGAAAAAAAGCCAGCAGACTCTTTTTCTTTCCCTAAAATACCCCCTACTCCTTCAGTAGCAGGTTTCTCAAAATTCTCTACCCTGCAGCGCAGTGGATTTCAATAACACATCCATCCTCTGTATTTTACAGCACAATTCTTTCTGCATATCACAGTCCTACCCTGCCCAGCCGGTGTCTTCCAGTTCATTTGTTCATTCATTCATCTATTTATTTATTTATTCTTCATCAGACATATTTTGAAAACATAGGTCTGACCTCAACAATCTTACATCTCACTGAGTTGAAGCAGACAGAGCAATCGTCCAACGTTTGGTTCTTCTCATCTCAGTGGAAATTATATTCCAGCTAAAACACATCTAACTCACACAAAAGCCTGACTAGACTCTTTAGTGTATCTTGAGGAACTGGAGGAAAATGGAGTCTGAGAGAAATCAAACTGTGTTTGTTGAACACTTTTTCTATTTGTCTCATGGAATATCAGTGAGTTCTGTGATTTCTACTCTGTGATCTGTGACTTTTTGCATCTGCACTGCCATTTAATTCCCACAGTAATTGTAAATAATAGTGACATAGTGACCAAGTAGTCATGATTGCCCATTTTTTACCCTCTGCTTTGTATTGACCAAATTTTACTAAGGTTTCTCTTTCCTACAGGCCCTTCACTCTGCTTGCTCCCAAGCCTGAGCAAGCAATAAAAAAGTGGAGCATGCTCCCTTAGTTTCTCCAGGCAAGTGGCTGACCACAGCATGGTAACTCCCTATCAGACCTCATTGGCCATCTCCCCTTGCTTGTCCAGTTTTTCTTCCAAAGATTTTGCTTACCTCTGCTTGCCCCTCCTTCACACTAAAAACGAAAAAAAAAATCTGCTTAATTTGAAGATGCTTTCAGATTTGTGAGATCAGAGCATTCTCCCCATTGCAATAGTCTTTCTAACTAAAGGCTCTCCCTATCTTAGTCCAAATTTGTTTTTATTTTACAATAGTTATTATTTTACAGAGGAAGAAATGAGGCTCACAGAGATGGCTTGAGCTCATATGACATAAAAAATGACAGAATAGTGATTCATAGACTTGTTCAAAAAAATGGTTGCCGGACAAGGTAAAGGTAAGTATTTCAGGCTTCACAACATTGCTGAGGGAGGGCTATAGATACAAAGACCTATAGGCCTAAATGACAAATTTTGGAGGACAGAGTTAAATCTGCTATGATACAGATTCATTGGCCACTGGGCTGAGAACAAGAAATACATTCCTTGATGCTTTTCAACATGCATAACAAAATGATCTAGAGGAGGGAGACTGTTCTCTTTGGTACAGTGGCAGGAAGAATTACCCAGATCATCTTGGTTTTCTCGTTTCATCTTGGAGAGAGCTTGGCATCCCTCAAGTTAGGTGTATAGATGATTATGGGAAACTGGCATGATGCATTCATTTGAAACTTCCCACAGGTAAAGTATAAACTCAAAAGCACAATAAACAATAATAGTGTTTTACCCTTCATGCTGGATTGTAATGCTGCTGATATTGAATTAACATAGGCCCTTGCAGAAAATGCAAATGAAAGATTCTGGACTATATCAACAAGGCTTTGGGCATACAAGGGGTGAGAAGCTGCCAAGGGGAAGGCCAGCAGTGTAGTTAGGGATCGGGGTGAAAGAAGCTGGGCTAGTGAAAATGTACTCCATAAATTGTATACATTTTAAAATGAAATGTTTATTCCAACTCAAACATTTTCCTTAAAGTGATGACATTCACAAAGGCTTCACTGTATATTCTTGCAATTCTAACATAGAAATAATACATAAATTCAAAGAAGCAGAGTTACAATTCACATGGATTTTTATTTCCATAGATGAAAACTTTATTCTGCAAAACTGAGGTAGTATGGGAAATGGTTCCGGGCCATTTGCCTTCAGTCAGCATTATTGAAATAAATAGTACAACAAGCACTAATTGAGCACTTCTGTGTGCCAGCTAAGCCATACTTAATTGCTCTCTCTCCAAGACATGTGTTGCCTCTCCGTGGTGGACACCTACACATGTTTTGTACCAGAACTGGAAAAGGAGTAAGGCATTTTTACTCACAGTTGCAGTGACATGTAAATGTTAAATACAGAATCTTAAGGGAGCACCATGATTAGAGTTGGAATAAACTGAAAACCTAGATCATCAGTTTAAGATACTACATTTGGGAGGAGAATGGGTTATAGAAGCAAAATGGGGATAAAAAGAACAATGGAGTTAGAAAGTGATTGAAAGTGTCAAGCTGAGTGGTGAATATGCTGCAGTTGTCAAGGCTGGAATACAGGTGACAAACTACCTCAAAACACCACATTCTTTCATGCTTACTTTTGGAATGCTCCTTTCCTTGCCTTTTGGTGACCACCTGACCATCCTTCAAGGCCAGGACAAACCTAATGTCTTATATGAACCTATGAACCCTTCCCTGGTATCTTTCTGCTCCCGTACACATGGCTTATCACATTGCTGTTTTGTGATTTATCACCTCCTGGGTCCCTTGCTGAGTTAAAGGCACGTGCAGCATAAGGGCAGAGACTTCTTCTTCTTCTTCTTTTTTTAAACCTCTTTGTGTCCTCAACATTTAGCAAGTGTCTTAATAATAACTAATACATATTAAACAGAATAAAAGACGAGAGAAGGAAGTTAGAAGGGTAAGTGAAGAGGCAGAAAGGAAGGAAAACACAGGAGGGGTCCAAGAGAGGTGAAAGGAAGGCAGGGAGGAAAAGTGAAAGATTAAAGGAATCTCTTTTTTCTTCCCCTACTTAAATTTGGATGCAGTTTGTAATTTATTTGCTCTTTTCTTTTTAAGATTGTATTTGTTCAAATCTCCCACATTTTTCTCCATCAAAAAATGTGCATACCTCAATACTTAAAGTTCAGGAGCAAATGGTGTGTATGTGTATCAACCAAAAATTCAGAGAAAAGACATCTTTATCCTGAGCACCATAAATTAAGCCCAAAATCTGTCCTTACTACAGTGGATTTCAAAGCAGAGGTAGCTGGGTTTTCAGTTCCTCCTCAAAAGGAAGGGATTCCATTGCACATTTAACAGGGTTGTTTCTCTGGGTCAGTCCTAGCCACGTGGAAACCCATTTGGGATGCAGCCAAGGGGCTATGCTGTCCATGCTGGAGGATGGCTAAACCAGAGTGAGAGAAGAGATTAATCAATCCAAGACAACATCTGTCAGGATATTGAGTTTGGCTCTTGTTATCAGCTGCCTGCACTTCAGGGGCTGTGTAATATTTAATTTGATTATCTCTCACCTGCAAAGAGTAGGTTTCTTCCTTTGCTTAAAAATCACTGGTACTAGCTGAAGAGGAATCGACCTGCTGGAGAAAATGCTGACAAGAAAACACAAATCAGAAATACGACAAGGGGGATGAAAAAGGGAGAGAAAGAGAGTTTGGCTTACATCTTGGCCATTTTTTAAAAAACCAGCTGGCTTGGTTTCCTATTCTTTTAATAATAGGAGTCTTTTTGTTTCACCTGTCAGTCCTGATTATAATAAATAAATGATGACAAGAGGACAGTATAACACTTTTGTGTATCTTTGAGGCTCCATCAGTAAAAAGTATTTTGCTGTGTCTCTAAGTATCAGTGCCTAGGTCCTGTAGGTCTTATGGAGTTCCTGCTGCAGGAGTCACAGAAAAGGCCTGCACCCTTTTACACTGCAGAGAAAATGTTTACATTCTAGAGAGATAGAAGTTTGAGACTAATTACAGTGGCTTTAATAACCTAAACTCCCTTGAGTTATCAAAGATGCAATCTTAAAAAGTTGTGCCATTTTTAGAATATTTGTTTTGTAAATATGTGTTTATTCTGTCTCTTTCCCTCTCACTGGTATCTGGATTTTTTAGTTGGTCACTTTCCTGTATAGCCACAGTTGAGCCAATGTATTTTTATGCCATTTATGTTTATTTTAAAGTACAAATCTTTCTTCCACTATACCGCAAACCTTCCCAATCCAATCTTTAGCACTGATCTCACTTGTGAAACTTACTTATCTCAGTTGGCCAGCAAAAATGGTCTATTAGATATTTCAATGTCATCTCAAACTCAGCATGTGTAAAAACCCAATTTGTCATCTTTCCCACACCAAAAATGCTCCCCTTGCTTAATTCCCTATTATTTGCAAGCTTGAAATTTCAATGACATCTTCACTCACACTTGTCACGTTAAGCCAACCAGCTACAAATTCTTGTTGATCATTTCTTCATTATATTTCTCATGTTTTTTTTTAAATTTATTTTCAATGCCACACTTACTATTCTAGCTTATCCCTTCATGTCATGAAATACATACTACTTCAGGAAGCTTCTGGATGATCCCCTGCTGCAAGCCATTCCTCACCTTTAAACTATGCCATGGGACACAATTATATCAATGTGCATTAACAAATTACTTTCCTTTGCCCAGTAAAATTAAAATTAAATTCAGAAAGCTGAACTTGGTATTCCAGGTGGCTGAAAACTAATTCTTGTCTACATTTTCATGTAGACAGATAGATAAATAGATAGATAGATATCTTAATTTTCTCTGCAACCTTCATATTTACCAGGTAAAGGGATTCACTATTTGCTAAAACCGCTTGAGCTCCCCCAGGTTTACCCCTTCGCTCATGGTCACATTCATACTATGCTTCATCCATACCAATTCACTACTAGTCCCCTGAACTCTCCATAAACCTGTATGTATCTGTGCTTTTGCATGTGCTATTTCCTCTCCCCAACATATCTGTTCTTATTCCTTTTAACCATCATAGGCAAACTGTTACTTGAGCATTAAAGACACCATATTGATGTCACCTTTGTAGAAGTGCTACCCTGTGTCTCCTATTCTGGGTAGGCAATTCATAAATATTCTCCCAAATCACCCTACGCTTCCTGCCACTATGGCATTATACCTGGTGATGACTGAATGGATAAATGAAACAATACTGCCTGGAGTTCCCTACTTTTCTATCCCCTACCATATCACTACACAATTAATCTCATCCTCCTTAAAGAAGTTTCATTTGCCACATATTTTCGAAGCCTTCTTTGACAATTCCAGTTAAAAGTGACATCTTTTTTTAATCCCCTGAATGTGTACTCAAGAAATCATTTACCGATTTCATTTGGAAGTTATAGAATAGATAATCCCCTGTGTTTCTAGAGGCTTGAGAATAGGTAATTGAGATTTTAAATAATACTGGTTTCAGAATTGTTTAAATTTCTTTTTTTAGAAAATGAGTGCTCTGAGGTCTAGACAGTGAGGAGCTAGAAGCCAGGAGAGGAGAAAAGTAGGGCAGAGTGGGTCAAGATTCAGCGTACAAAGATAAGGAAGATCTAAAAGACACTTATTTGGGGTAAAGCAGTAATCTTTTTTTAAAATCCAAAACAGGTATCAATAGGGACAAGGCAGACTAATAATGGAAACCCAAGTCTGTAAATTCGCAGGGAAAAGATAAGAAACCTCAAAGCAAAATGAACCAACTTGGGCCAGAAAAGATAGGATAAGTTGCTCATTGTCCAACATAGAGATGAGATGTGTATAACTCTGAGTATTCATCTACTTGTATTAGCCATTTAAAAAAATAGAGGAAAGTATTTTAGACATACAGCCAAACCACTAGTAATATATTTATCATAATACCTTTTACAAAAATAACTCTCACGTCAGTTTCTCTTGACTTAGAAATTCTAAGTTTTGTTCCTATAACATCTAAGTGACACTGTACCTATTCTTGTTGAATGCTAAGGCAGATATATCATTTCCTTCCTGAAAACTGAGAGCAGAAAAAGGGTTTATAGCTACCTGTGCCTAGCACAGACCTATTTTTTCTTTTTCTCTTTTTCTTTTCTTTTTTTTTTTTTCAAGAGAAAGTCTTGCTCTGTCACCCAGACCAGAGTGCAGTGGCACGATCTCAGCTCACTGCTACCTCCGCCTCCTGGGTTCAAGTGATTCTTCTGCCTCAGCCTCCCAAGTAGCTGGGGCTACAGGCACCTGTCACCACGCCTGGCTAATTTTTGAATTTTTAGTAGAGATGGGGTTTCACCATGTTGGCCAAGCTAGTCTTGAACTCCTGACCTCAGGCAATCTGCCTGCCTTTGCCTCCCAAAGTGCTGGGATTACAGGCCTGAGCCATTGCGCCCAGCCCAAACCCATTTTTTCAGAGTAGATAATCAAAAGACTATATCTTATACATCTTTTGAAAACTCGGCATGAAGTACTAAAAATTTCAGCATCAGATAACAAGGAATGATCTAAGGACAAACTAACATATTTCAGCTTTCATGAACCATTGTTTTCTTCTGAAACAGAGCAATTAAAAATAAATAAATTGGGCCGGGCGCGGTGGCTCCAGACTGTAATCCCAGCACTTTGGGAGGGAGGCCAAGGTGGGCAGATCACTTGAGGTCAGGAATTCGAGACCAGCCTGGCCAACATGGTGAAACCCCATCTCTAATTTTAAAAAATACAAAAATATTAGCCGGGCGTGGTGGTATGCATCTGTTATCCCAGCTACTTGGGAGGCTGAGGCAAGAAAATCACTTGAACCCGGGAGGCAGAGGTCACAGTGAGTGGAGCTCACGCCACTGCACTCTAGCATGGGTGACAGAGAGAGACTTGTGTCTTAAAAAATAAATATATAAATAAATTGGCAAAGATGCCAAAGCAATTATATAGAGGAAAGATAGTCTTTTCAACAAGTGGTGCTGGACTAATTAGATCTCCACATTGAAAAAAATATAAATTTAGAACCTGCCTCATAGCATACATAGAAATTGATAAAAAATGGATCATAGACCCAAATGTAAGAGCTAAAACTATATAATTTTAGAGAAGAAGGTAAGAATAACTCTTTGTAATTTGAGTCTAGGCAAAAAGTTCTTAGCTACAATGCCAAAAGCAGAATTATAAAAGAAACCTTGATAAATTGAACTTCATCAAAATTCAAAACTTTTACACTTTAAAAGAAAATAAAAAGATAAGCCATATCCTGAAAGATAAAAGACTTACATGCAGAATTTATAAAGAATTATTGGGGCCAGGCGTGGTAGCTCATGCCTGTAATCCCAGCACTTTGGGAGGCTGAGGCGGGTGGATCACCTGGGGTCAGGAGTTCGAGACCAGCCTGGCCAACATGGTGAAACCCTGTCTCTACTGAAAATAGAAGAGTTGGCTGGGCATGGTGGTGGGCGCCTGTAATCCCAGCTACTTGAACCCAGAGGGCAGAGGTTGCAGTGAACTGAGATCGTGCCATTGCACTCCAGCCTGGGCAACAAGAGCAAGATTCTGTCTAAAAAAAAAAAAGAAGAAGAAGAAGAGTTCTCAAAATTCAATAATAAGGAACAAAATTCTCAATCAAAAGTGAGGCAAAATATTTGAATAACACATTACAAAAGAAGACATACGAATGGCTGATAAGTACAAGAAAAAATGCACAACATTAGGTATTAGGTAAGTAAATATTAAAACTATAATGAGACATCACTACACAGTCACTTGAATGGCTATACCCAAAAGAGAGACAACCATAAGTGTCGACAAGTATATGAAAAACCTGAAACAGTCATATATTGCTGGTGGGAACCTAAAATGGTGTAGTTATTTTGGAAAACAATATGGCAGTTTCTTAAAAAGTTAAAAGATTTACCATATAATCCAGTAATTCCAATCCTCAGTACCTATGGAAGAGAAATGAAAATATATGTTCCCTCAAAGAATTGACCATAAATACCCAAGCAACATTCCTCATAACAGCCCCAAACTGGATGCAATCCACGTGTCCATTAACGGGTGAATGGTTAAACATAATATGGCATATCTACACAATGGAATACTATTTAGTCATTAAAAGGGAGCAAACTATTAAGTCATGCTACAATATGCATGAATCTCAAAAACATTATGCTAAGGCAAAGAAGCCAGATGCAAAATACTTCGTAGTGTATGATTCTATTTATATGAAGTGTCCAGGAAAAGCAAATACAGTTAGCCCTTCATAGCTGTGGGTTCCACACCCACGGATTCAACCAACCTCAGACTGAAAATATTGAAAAAATGAAAAATAACAATACAACAATAAAAATAATGCAAATAAAAAGCAATATAGTATAACAATTATTTACATAACATTTACTTTGTATCAGGTATTATAAATAATCTAGAGATGATTTAAAGTATATTGAGCATATGTGTAGGTTATATGCAAATACTACCCCATTTTATAGAAGAGACTTGATTTGGGTATCAAAGGACGTTCTGGAACCAGTCCCCCAGAACACCAAGGAACAACTGTATATAGAAACAGAAAGTAAGTTGGAGGTTGCCCAGAGTCTGGAGTACAAATGGGGACTGACTAAAGGTGGGCATGAAAAAAATTTTGGGAATGATGAAAGTATTCTAAAACTAGATTGTGATGATGGCTGCAAAACTCTGTACATTACTGATAATGAATTGAAATGAATATTTTACACAAGTGAATTTTATTATATATAAGTTGTACCTCATTAAAACTGCTAAAAATAAATAGTGCTGCTAAGCTTATATAAGCAGCTTTTAGGTCTCAACTGTAATATTACCCCTTCAGAAATGTCTTACCTGGATACCTTCTCCAAAATATCCTTTTCATAGTTTTGTTATTATAATCTGTTTATTTTCAACTTTACCATTTACCACAAGCTGTAACTATCTTATTTATGTATTGACATACTTGTTTACTGCTTTCCTCTTCAATCAGAATGTAAGCCCCGTGAGAGTTGTTACTTTATTTCTCTTATTTACTACTTTATTCCCAAAATTTTGCACAGTGCCTGGCACAAAGACATGGTTAACAGCCATATGTCAAAGGTATAAACAAACAGATTAATGGATGACTAGACAAATAGCTGAGTAAATAGATGAGCTATATTTGCTAAGCAAATTAGTTTCGTGTATCTTTAGGAGACACAGAATATAATCTTTCATTTTAAGAGGGGAAAAAAAACTTGCAACAGAAGGAAAATGGTATTTCCTCATGATCAAGAAAGTGGAATTCCTTCCTCAGATCAGGCATCTGAGACTTTTATTCCCAAAGAGGACACGATGCCAGAACTGAGCACAGCCAACATCCACCTCTCTTTTTCTTTAACCATCCCATTAACAAAGTTGTTTTCTCTAGAGTCTAGATCCAATTAAGAGCAAGGGTGGCAGAGAGGAGAACACTGAGGAAAGCAATGTTAAAGATGTTTGCACACATTCCTCTGGGGGATAGAGAAAGCTTTATTGGCTTTCCTATCCCTCCTCCTCTTTTTCCCCTCCATCCCCCACCTCCTAAACTCCTTTGCAGAAGGCATCAGGACAAAGAAGCACCCAGCATTCAGCTCAGGAACAGAAAATAAATACACTGGGAATACTCCACGGTCCCTGGCTGAATACAAAGCAGTGATTCAGCAGAGAAGCTGCAACCTCAATGGGAACAGAGAGCGAGTACTGAACATAGCACCAGAAACACGAGAGAAAGAGAGAGACTGAGAGAGAGACCATCTTAATGTTCTCACTGCGTTTTCCTCCTGTGATGTCTCCTATAATAACAGTTTAAATGCAGTAGTAAGTGAAAAGAAAAAAGAAGAGGAAATAGATTCATAAATAATACTGCACAAAGAGAAGAAGAACACAGCAAGATCAAAAAGAAAATATCAGTATTTTTTAAAAAATTTAAGACAAGAATGAACCAGAGTCTAAAACCAGAGTCTAGAACAGGTGATGGAAACAAATGACTAAAAAGGGAATAGAGAGAGGAAAAACAAGCAATGTACTTTATTGGTTAGTTGAGAATGAGTCAGGGAATGTGTTTCACTCATGTCCTGTGGCCCTTTGACTTCAATTATCTTGTTAAAAAGTCTGAGCTTTATTTCCACTGTGTGTAGTGGGAATAATGTGCATGTCCTCCTTTCCTCCTTTACTCGGGTCTGGTGAGGACTAATTAGGCAATGTATGTGACATGTCTTTAGAAGTTTAGAGTGCTAGATAAACAGAATGCTTTTTTGAAGTGCCTGTACATTGTTGGTGCTGAATAAACATTAAATCACACTCAAGTTTTGAGGCTGAGCAAGAGAGAGCAGTTTATAGTTCATTGGGGAAATATTTCCATTTCATTCCAGTATTTCTAAGTTAGTGACAAAACACAAACAATTTTCCATAGTCGTACCTTCTCCAAGGGGCAATTATTGATGGAAAAAAAATCAAAGGAAGCTCTTACTAATGAAGGCTGAATGTTTTATAATCAATTGAGGGTCACAGGACAACCCAGAATACGGCAGTACATGGATAAAAAGTAGAATCCAGATAGATATGAGGCAGAAATTATAAAGAATACTTCTAGGTCTTACATAGAGACTTAGTCTTATACAGAAGAGAGGACATAGTGTGGATTAAATACCACATTACTTACCCAATAAATTCTACAGAACCTAGTAAGTGAAATGCAGTATTGAGAGTCTTGGAATGCCAGGCTTTCCATTTTTTCTGATCGATGGAGCTCTGTATGCAGCAAATAAGGCTGGGTGCCAGGTTTATACTCTACATATAAGGAAAACTTTGGGAGTGTGCCATTTTATTATAATTTCATTTATTCTGTATGCAGAATTCCATTTTTCTTTCCTTTCAACTAGATTAAATACTGTAAATCACAGCTTTATTGATAGGAAAGGAGGTATCTGCATTACTCTTAAAAATGCCATCTCCAAGAGGCCAACTTCACTAGAAGTTGAAGAAGGAAAAAAAAAAAAAAGAGAGTGGAGTTTGCCAAGCCAAATAAATTGTCTACCGTGCAGGGGCTGGGCATTTAGATCTGATGGTGCCTCTAAATCATAAAACATTTGTTAAGTCATCAACTCAGGAAATGCAATTATCACCCAAAATTAGCAAGAAAGTAGTTTTAAAACAATTGCTCACCTGTAACGAACAGCATAGTGAGGTTATATGCTCACCTTTGATATTTTCATTGACCCTTCATGTTTCACCATCCCCTATTTACTTATGACAAGGGAAAAATAGATCCTCTATTGTCAACCTTTACCTTTGGCCATGTAACCATAGAATGAGTCATTGCAACAAATATACTTCATTCTGTACATACCATTAAAAGAAATTATTGAGCACCTGCTACCTGTTCAACCCTGGCCCAGGCAACACGTGGAACATGGAAGATAAGGGTTAGTGGAAATAGTACTGATGCAAATATGGCTCTGCTAACAACTAGTTGTTTGACCATAGAAAAGTCATTTTTTCTTGGAGTTTTACCTCTTCTTCTTTAAAATGCAGAGAATGTGATATACTTGGGTGAGTATGTCAATAAAAATATTGATTGAAATGTTACTCAGACCAAGTTACTCCTGTAATCTCTAACCGTCTATGACTTAGGGAGCTTAAAATCTGGTTGAAGATACAGAACTAAAATGCAGAAAACTATCAGCAAACATAAGCACAAAATTGATACTGCCTATAAGTCCATAAATAATAAATAAATTAATTAATTAGAGGGGAAAACAATAAAGATGAAAAAATTAATGTTTTTTGAGAGGAGGATGGGCTTAAAAAGAGTAAAATTTAGGTAAATAGATGGGAAAAAAACCATACATCCTAAAGCAAAAAAAAAAAATTAATACACACAAAAGGAAAGATGGACTTGATATATCAGGAAACATTCCTAACAAAAAGAGAGGGTGAGTATGAGAGAGAGATACTTTAAGACCTGATGGTGCCTTTAAATTGAGGCTGATGCAACAAAAACTGGAGGCCAATTTTAGTTTATTGAGCAAAAATAGAAAAGAAAAAGAAACAGATGAAAAGGTAAGTTTAAAAAAGAATATAAATAGTTGTGAAAATCTAAAAGGCTAGACTATAAACTCCATCTCATTCACTGCTCATCACCAGTACTCAACTGAGTGCCTACCAGAAAGTAAGAACTCAACACATGAGGCCGGGCGCCATGGCTAACGCCTGTAATTTCAGCACTTTGGGAGACCGAGCCGGGTGGATCACTTGAGGTCAGGAGCTCAAGACCAGTCTGGCCAATATGGTGAAACCCCATCTCTACTAAAAATACAAAAACTAATCTCAGCTACTTGGGACGATGAGACAGCAGAATCACTTGAACCCGGGAGGTGGAGGTTGCAGTGAGCTGAGATCACGCCACTGCACTCCAGCCTGGGCAATAAAGGCGAAACTCCGTCTCAAAAAAAAAAAAAAAAAAAAAGAACTCAACACATGAAAAGACCGAGGTTGGTAATACAGTCATGCACTGATAAGGATTTGGAATAGAATGATAGCAGTGGGAATAAAAAAGCACCATTACTTAGAAACAGCTCATTAAATTTACCAAGTGTAAAGAAAAATAAAGGCAAAATAATTAATAATAAAACCCAAACAGCATTGCAGCACAATAGGGAAACCAAATCTGAAATGTGAATACATCATCTGTGGCTGCCTGTATCTTCTCTCTTTGTCCTGAACCCTGGGGCCATCATCTTACCATATTTCCTAACTCTGTAACAACATGGTGCTGTCAACAGCATAGTGAGGTTATACGTAATGGTAAAGAATTATAAGCCGAAGTAGACTATAGTATGGGGGAGTGTAATTATTATTATTAATACTAATCTGCCTCAAGGTTAAAAAAAAAAAAAGTCTGCCAAGAAACTTGAAAACAAAAATCTCCTGGGGTTTTTCTGGTAGCATACAACCTGAGACTGATTTATTCTATTTATTGTGTCCTCACTTCCTTATGAAATGCCTGCATTTCTATTAATTCTCTATCTTCGTTCATTCATTCATTTATTCATTCAAGTGTCATTGCAACCCTTAAGACTCAGCTCTTTCTTTCTTTTTTTTTTTTTTTTTTTTTTGAGACGGAGTCTCGCTCTGTCGCCCAGGCCGGACTGCGGACTGCAGTGGCGCAATCTCGGCTCACTGCAAGCTCCGCTTCCCGGGTTCACGCCATTCTCCTGCCTCAGCCTCCCGAGTAGCTGGGACTACAGGCGCCCACCACCGCGCCCGGCTAATTTTTTGTATTTTTAGTAGAGACGGGGTTTCACCTTGTTAGCCAGGATGGTCTCGATCTCCTGACCTCATGATCCACCCGCCTCGGCCTCCCAAAGTGCTGGGATTACAGGCGTGAGCCACCGCGCCCGGCCCAAGACTCAGCTCTTTCATTAAACATGTCCATAGAAACACATCAGCTCACGGCATTTTTTGAATAGCCATCAGAGCTACAATTAGAAACAAACTGTTTTTATTGTTACTTAATGTTTTATTTGTACAGGTTCCTTGAGGGACTAGAACATGTATAGATCCAGATTTTTGTGGGGCTTGCAATTTTTACAGTGTGAAGTCTTTCTCTTAAAAAAATAAATACAAAACGATAAATTAAAAATAAGAGCTATTTAGAGGTAAACCCTCGGAATGGCCCGTGCAAGTAAGGAGCTCCAAAGCTAAGCTTCCCTGTAAATCCACTTCTGTTGAACATTTATTTAATCCTCATAGAATTTCCAGCAGAGGGCTAGGCATACTAACTACCCATGTTACACACTCTCTCTCTTGGCAATTTCATCAAACTCACAGTTTAAACTATACCCTAATAGGAAAACAGCTGATGTTCCCAGGTAACTCAGAGCATTCTCTTAATCAGGTCCTCAGAGTCACTTGTCAATGGGCTCTACCTGAATACCTGATAGTCTTTCAAACTCAATTTAGTCAATGAAATTAATCTTACTTTGAAAATCTACCATTTCATTCCATATGTCTTTTTGTATTTGTTCCCCATCTTTGCCATGTATTTCCATTTACGCTCTACTTTATTTACTTAGGACTCTCCGTCTCTCTACCCTCCTGCCAGCCTTCTTATGTGAATTTCCTACCTATATTTGAACTGAACATATCATTACCTGGTCTAGAATTGTCTGCAAATTTCTTTATTAAGAAGATCTTTTTTTGAGAGGCCGAGGCAGGCAGATCATGAGGTCAAGAGATCAAGACCATCCTGGCCAACATGGTGAAACCCCGTCTCTACTAAAAATAGAAAAATTAGCTGGGCTTGGTGGTGTGGGCCTGTAGTCCCAGCTACTCAGGAGGCTGAGGCAGGAGAATTGCTTGAACCTGGGAGGGGGCGGTTGCAGTAAGCTGAGATTGCACCACTACACTCCAGCCTGGTGACAGATCTTTTGTCATCAAACTAATTTTCTTAACTGTTTTTAAGGAAATGTCCACTTTTTAAAAAACCTACCATGTATTTAGAAAAAAATGCATTTTTCATTATACAAGAGACTACACAGACTCAAAAAAGAGTAATACATTTATGTTTGAGATATGTAATGTCTACATATAATGCTTAGTGTGTATATGGAAGTTTGGAACCTTTGTACTAATCCTGGAGCTCCCCAGGAACCTATGGCTTGGGAACTGACTGCCTAAAGCTTTTCTCTTGGGACTAAAATTGAGTGAAACTGTACTTTATTTTCAAGAAATGAACTCTGACATATTTAGGACTTCATTAGATAATTCTTAGGATCCCTTGCATTATCTTTTAAGAAGCCCCATTTTTATTTTAATATCCATAGATGTTTCCACTGGGAATTTGTGACATTCTTGGGAATATTTTCAGCTTTACAGACAGATAACTAACTTTGGGATGGGGGTATTAGTGTTTTACTGAAATCCTGATATCTGATCCTTCCCTAATCTGTTAGTTCCTAAACTCTGTCTACCTTTTCACTCTTTTTGTAAGTCCTCAATTTTCTTTGTTTGGGCTTTCTGAGCTATTTCAAAACTGTTACCCAAAATGCTATATTATATATTTAACAGTTGCCTGGCCCCACAGACAAAGCTGTGCATAAATGCTTCTTTCACTGTAAATACTGCTAAGGCAATGATGAGGTAATTAGCTAAGTACATGTCAGCTCTACAGGAAAGAGACTGGTTTCATACTCTGATAATTGCTGTTTAAAAGTTTTAACAGTTGCACTTTTAGGTAAATTAAAGTCACTTTACAAAAAGAGATAAAATAGTGAACCATGCATACAAATAGTAAGAAAGCAAAATACTGGTGTTGGAGAAAGAAATTGGGTTCAGCAAGAGGTGGAGATATATTCAGTAAAATAATTGACAGATGACTGCCATTTGTTGGTTGACCTCATATTTTGTGGAAGAAAAGTGGTTTTTTTTAATTATAAGAACAGAAAACCAGAAATGCAAATTATTTTGCTTCATTATTGCTGATGAGTGCACTTGATATGAAAAGTAAAGAAGTCACACAAACAAAGCATTCCTCAATTTAGAAATAACAGATTTACTTATAGGCAAATAATGTCTACATACGACCACCGCCACTACATTCTACTGAGATCATCTCTGATGATACTGTGGGAATCAGTAGAGAGAAGGATTACATCAGATATCTAGGGAGATGGCTGAGTTCCGGCAGGGTTCAGAGGGAGCAAAAATTGCAGAGGGTCAAGGCCTGGGATAACACAGGCCTTGGAGTAGGAAGACAGCCAATATGAGACATGGATTTGCAGACGACATCATGTTTTACTCTTTGGGGGAGTAAAGAGTTTGAACCATATTGACCAAGAGGTTGACAACAGGTAAAGATATCATGGTTAATATAAGAGACCCTGTTTTCATAATTTCCTAATTCAGATGGTAGCAAAATGTTCAGTTAGAAATGAGATATACAGTGGGAATTAAAACTGTAGTGTAGACTTCAGGCAAAAGTATATCAACACGTGTGGCAAAGTAATAGAGGGAATTAGAAGACGTAAGAGATGAGGTCAGCATTTGACCTGATTAATCTTATGCATGTGTATGAAGCTGGCTGATGTTAAAAGTAACTCTCTGAGACCAGATTTGTCTTGATACTGCTCTACCCAGAAAGATGAAAGGCCTAAATAGATCTTCAGTCTTAATGATATACAGTCCCTCTCTTTTGATATGTTTGCAAATTCTCCAGTGGGAAGAAAATAATAGAGGCATGAATATTAAAACACACTGAAAATTATTAGAGAACATATTTCCAAATGAAATTCTTCATAAGCAAAGTAATAATAGAATTCCATTAAAAAAATCCAAAATAAACTAGAGAGGGAATTCAGAATATCACATAATTATGAAATATAAGTACTAGCAGAGACCTGAGAAATCACCCATTTCAATCTTCTACTCCATAAAGATGTTTTTATTTTTGTTTTTATTTTAATAATATTTCCTAATAGAGGTCTACTTAAATACTAAAATAGATGAAAATGTAGTTCCTTAACAGGAAAGCCATTCCATTTGGCAGAAGAGAAACTTGACATTTACAAAATAAATACACCTATATCCAAAGATATGCCTAAATATAATTATAGATACTTCTAATTCCTTCTTATAATGAACTTCTTAGGTGAGAAGTTTAATATCATTATTATAATTTTTATTTTATAAAGAACCAGAGGCTTAGTAGGGATAAATAATTTATCAATGTTTGCAGAGCTGGTAATTGATAGGGGGATACTTAGAGCTAGGTCTTCTGGCCCAGAAACTGTGTTATTTCTACTATGCCATTTGAATGGTCATTTTTATGTCATTCAACTAGATTTGCTTATTTAATTAAATTATGTCCTATTTAAATTATAAACTACCATATTTTTTCTTTCTTTCTGTTTTTCATCTTCCTTTCTTCTTTTTTGAATGAGATTTGGTATAATCACAAATACACATAAATAACTTTTTTTTAACATTAACTAAAATTTTCTTCCCTATAGTTTTCATCCATATTTACCTTATAATTCCATCAACAAACACCTCAGCTATCCCCTTATCTTTGTCTCATACACATGATGGAAAATTTGCTTCCTATGGTTTTATCCAAGTGTTGATCCTGGCCTGAGAGAGAATGAGAGAGACCTCTATCACTATCAATCAGTATTATTTTGGCGTAATTGCTTGAGAAAAAAAAATCTAGCTCATTTTTGACCCATAATATATTAATAAGTCTATTGGAAGCCTGTTGAAGTACAGATACTCAAAGTAAATGGCATTTCCTTGATCCAACAGCCTGGAATTATATTTGCTCATTTAAAAAAAATCTATTTGCCACGCTATACTTTGTTCCCAGGGAACACATGTTGGCTTCTAGTGATCACTGCTTTCTTTTCAAAATCTATTTAACACTACATTCTAGCACGTAGGCTTTTGGTGGGTAGAGTGATTTAATATGATTTTCCCCTTGTAGTTATAATTAGGACAATATTTTACATCACCATTATGAAACTGTTTCTGTTTTCTACAGATTTTCTAATGTTAGTAATAGTGTTTGTATAATTATGCTCTCAAGTTATATTAGTGCCCTGGATATAATGCATATCAGTCTTACAGCTGAACTTGTTTATATTATTCTAATCACGTCTTCATATGCCCTGGATTTTAAAAATTGCAAAGGGTATAATAGCATAATTTTGAGAATTTCACTTGGTAAACATTATTCTTCTCTTCCAGTGGACACCAGTCATCTTCATTAAGCATGCTCATTAACAAATCACTAGATCTCTTTGTGACTTTGAAAGAAAATAGAAATTTAGTATGGACTTGGAATCACAAATTCAAAGAATTAAATTATATTTTTAAAAAATACAGTTATTTTTCCTTCAGCTAAGGCAGCATTAATTTTTGTCCTATAATAGCAAATAGAAAAAGAAAGTGTTAGATTTCCTTTTGCTTTTTATGAACTATATGATTGCCAAGATCTAATAGAAACAAAAAACATTGTCTGACTCCCCTTACAATATAATCTTAGCACCTTGCATGATTAATTAAAAATAAAACATACTAATCAAAAAAATTACGGTAGCCATTGTGTGATGCCTCTTATATATCGTATCTGTTTACATGCTTGATACCCTTAAAAATTTGGTTTTCTGTATAAGTGATGCAACAAATTAATTAGGTTCCTATTAAAGTGTGACGTGACCCAAGTTCAAAGTAATATTCATGTCCATATTTTGTGTACGTAAATTTTATGTACATATAAAAATCACATTTATGCTTTTACTTTTTTACATATAATTATAAATATATACAAAAATAAAAATAAAGTTAAGGTCTTGTATTCAAATACAGTCACACTATATAGATTAAATATATTCATGATACAAATTAATTATACTTCATAACAGATCCTGTACAAATACATACTCTTAGAAGAATTAGATTTTGAGTTCTGTTTTATTTTTATGCAAGAATGAAGGCATTAATGTAAACATATTTTTAAAGTTTTCTATATTATGATATTTATAATATAATTTAGGATTTTTTAAAAAAATTGTGCATATTATCATTCTATCTATAACTTCTGGCATTTCTTCTTCTTGTGAATGTAGCTATATTCAAAAACGTAAAGCCACTTCACCAGACCAACATCTTTGCTTATAAGACAAGTAGGAGTTGGAACAATGGAAGCTAATTCCCAACTTTACACAGTAATGGTTTTTGCAGAACTAAAGGCTAAATTTTTTCATGCCCAATCTAGAGGTTTATCCAATCAAGTAATATCTTGTAGTCTTTAAGCAGTTGATTGTTGTGGTGAT